>NC_000002.12:103247193-103550224 GCF_000001405.40 Homo sapiens | reverse complement strand
AATCCCAGCATTTTGGGAGGCCGAGGTGGATGGATTATGAGGTAAGGAGATCAAGACCATCCTGGCTAACACGATGAAACCCCGTCTCTACTAAAAATACAAAAAAAATTAGCCAGGCGTGGTGGCGGGCGCCTGTAGTCCCAGCTACTCGGGAGGCTGAGGCAGGAGAATGGCGTGAACCCCGGAGGTGGAGCTTGCACTGAGCTGAGATCACACCACTGCACTCCAGCCTGGGCGACACAGCAAAACTCCGTCTCAAAAAAATAAATAAATAAAAATAAAAATAAAAAATAAAAAAATAAAAATTCTGGACTAATTTATTAAAAGTAACTTGGATTACTCTGCCTAGGTCCTGTTTTAATATTGGCTTGAAAAATATCATGGAAACCTGCTAAATAGACTGCTTCTCATTAGCACAAATAAACCCATGGTGACCTGAGGTAGGATATTATATTTGTAAATTTAAAAAAACAAGTATTTTTATATATACATAATATATACTATATAAACATATTATAATATAACATGCTTTAAGTACTTAAACATACATATATGTTTTCTTAATAGCTAGTTCATTAAAAAATAGTTTTTCTTTAAAAAATTAGAATGTACCTGTATGATTCTTCTCCCTTCTCTTCTTTATTAGTTTAGCTAGCGGTCTTCTATTTTATTAATATTATTTTATTAATCTATTTTATTATGTTTTTCCAAAAACCAGCTCCTGGGTTTATCAATTTTTTGAAGCTTGTGTGTGTGTGTGTGTGTGTGTGTGTGTGTGTGTGTGTGTGTGTCTCTATCTCTTTCAGTTCTCCTCTGATCTTAGTGATTTCTTGTCTGCTACGTTTTAGATTTGTTCACTCTTATTTCTCTAGGTCTTTTATTTGTGATGTTAGGGTGTCGATTTGAGATCTTTCAAGCTTTCTGATGTAGGTGTTTAGTGCTATAAATTTCCCTCTTAACACAGAGATTTTGGTACATTGTCTCTTTGTTCTCATTGGTTTTAGATGACATGAACAGACACTTCTCAAAAGAAGACATTTATGTGGCCAACAAACATGAAAAAAGTTCAACATCGCTGATTGTTAGAGACACGTAAATCATAACTACAGTGAGATACCACCTCACACCAGTCAGAATGGCTATTACTAAAAAGTCAAGAAACAACAGATGCTGGTGGAGCTGTGGAGAAATAGGAACACTTTTACACCATTGATGGGAATGTAAACTAGTTCAAACATTGTAGAAGACAGTATGGCGATTCCTCAACGAATCAGAACCAGAAATACCATTTGACCCTGCAATCCTATTCCTGGGTATGTAGCCCAAAGAATATAAATCATTATATTATAAAGATGCATGCACACATAGGTTTATTGCAGCATTATTCACAATAGTAAAGACATGGAACCAACTCAAGTGTCCATCAGTGATAGACTGGATAAAGAAAATACGGTACATATATACCATGGAATACTACACAGCCATAAAAAGAATGAGATCATGTCCTTCACATGGACATAGATGAAGCTGGAAACCATCCTCCTCAGCAAATTAACACAGGAACAGAAAACCAAACACCGCATGTTCTCACTTATAAGTGGGAGCTGAACAATGAGAACACATGGACACAGAGAGGGGAACAACACACACGGGACCTGTCTGGGTTGGGGGGCAGGGTGCGAGGGGAGGGAGAGCATCAGGACAAATAGCTAATATATGCTGGGCTTAATACTTGAGCGACGGGTTGATAGGTGCAGCAAACCACCATGGCACACTTATACCTATGTAACACTGTGCATATATCCCAGAACTTAAAATAAAAATTAAAAAAAATTGGAATGTACTTCTTCAGTGGTAAGGATCTGTCAGACTCTATCCCTTACTTTTAAATTAGGAATGTACTATTAATTTTCACTGTTTGTGAGGTAGACTACAGTACTGTATTTTCCAGAGAAATTGTGTAATTATTATTTAATCAAAGCTAAATCATATGGTATCATTGCAGAACTAAGTAATGTATAACATATGTTTCTGAGACAGAAAAAATTAAACTCAACTAAAACTTTACATTATAAAATATAACTATATGTATTTCTTTTTTTAAATTTCTCAAATTTTTCCTGTGTATCCAAAAGGTTTTCGATGTTATTCTCAATAATATATTAAGAAAGACACAGAACAACATATTCTGGAGTTAAAAGTAAATTAATGAGAAATACATCAAGAGACGATAAGTAAAATCTAGGTGAAGGATAGCAAGGTTAACTTTTTTATTGTTCTTGTAATATAAGTACTTTTTTAATGAATGTATGCAATTGAGGACAATAAATATAAGAGCACATAAATGTAGAAATTCAAATACAATACGAATTGTCAAATTATAGACTGTCTTCTATAAAGACATTATTGTTTTCTTGGTAGTGAACAAAAGAGAATAATTCTTAATATTTGTAACTTAAAAATAAAAAGAATAGTATAAATTTTTAAGAGTAGTGTAATTTCTCATAGACTACGTCCAAACAGAAAAAAATAAAAATAAAACAAAGCCTGGCTTATGTGACTCTGTTGCATCAACATGTACAGGCTTCAATGCAAAGATATTTTTCACACATATCATTGGTGTATGAGAATGAGGACTAATTTTTATTATTGTTTTTAAACTTTCTGGTTATGTTTCCTTTCAGAGAATATTTCTAACATCAGTGTTCTTTATTATATTGCTTCTCTTAATAGGTAATCTCTAATGTATTGAGTTAGATGTCTCTTTTGCTCAAGTTATACAGAGGAAGAAAGTCTTATTTAGTTTTAAAACTTGGTGCTTTGTAAGTGAAGAAAGAAGTATACTTTCTATGGATTTAGTTTAAAATAATTCTTTGAGTTGAATGAAGTCAATAATCAGGATGCTTTAGCAAGGGATTTAAAAATGCATTTCAAGAAACTTTAGCTCTTTATTTAACTTTTAAGAGTATAACTGAATAGATAAATGAGTCATGTCCAGTGTATCATTATAATTCCCAAGATTTTTCTTATTTGTTTGATAGTGTCCTTTCACATGGCAGCTTATTGAAGTCTAAAAGAAGTAGAGCTAGGTTTGATCTCTATCTGTAAGGTCTACTGTATTACCGTGTCAACCTGAGATGAGCTACTTAAAACCTGGAGTTTTTACAACTGCAAGTGGAAATAATTGTCCCTACTTTATAAAGTCCTGAGGAAATTTTACAGAAATGATATGGCACCTAATGCATAATAAGTTCTTTAAGAAAAGTAGCTTTTCATTTCTTCTCTTTTCTTCTCCTATTTTTTTCATTTCTATTCCCTTTTCTTACCTTCTTTTTGTTTGTTTTTTTTTCATAGGTATGTGCTATTAGGAAGAACTTTGTGTGCTCATTGATTTAGAGCTAGGCAAAATACAATTTTTGCAGATAAAAGAATTAAAACAGAGAAATAATTTTTAAATTTAAATACACACATGCATATATGTGTGATTCTTATTCTCTGGTAAATTATCATCTAGAGCAGGGCTGATTGACAAAACAAATTAAATTGAGCTTCATCAAAATTTGAAATATATTTGTTTGGTTCTAAGCCACTAAGTTTGTGGCAGTTTGTTACAGCAGCAATCAGAAACTAATACATGAAGCAGGTAAGCATCATAAACCAGAAGGGAGGCAGAGCAACACATGTATTAAGAAGGAATACTCAAAACACTCCAAACTCCAGGGTCTGCCACTTTTATTTTTGTCTTCAAACAAATTTCTTATTATGTAATTAAGCAGAGTAAAAACTAAAGAATTATAAAAAGAACACATTTGTTTGTAGTAAAAGTTTTTCTTTTGCTTTAATTCCTTTTGCTCCTTTTTCAAAAAGGAGAAAATTTAACATTTAAATTAGAATCAGGGTCTTGAATTCACTATTTATTATTTCCACACGTTTTACACCATAACTATATAGGAATATATCATTGACATTATAAAGTTTGTGTGCATGTTTAAAACTTTATGGAGGTAGAAATCCTTTCATTGATTTCAATATTGTTTGTTTATAATGCTCAATATTACATTTGTGTTATGTACGTTTATGTAAATACTTCTTTTCATTCATTTTAGGCATTGTAGAGTATTCAGTGGAGTGAATATATAAATTCTAGTCTTTCTCTTGACAATGGACATATGTTTTGTTCACTTTTTGCTTTTATATGCAAATTGTTGTAATTGCGTGTATGTTTCTTATAAGAAAATAATATTCTTATAGGGCACATGTTTCTTTATTTTTGCTAGCTAACCCAAAAAGGTTTTCTAAATGGTTTTCGCAATTCATACTCCAACTTACAGACTCTGAGGGTTCCCATTGCTTTCCATCATAACCATCATTTTATAGTATCGGATTTTAAGATTTTGCCAATACAGTCGTATAAAAGGTATACTTTTTAGGTCATACATGTAATTTATTTTTTAATCCAGATTTTCCCTATCATAAAATTTATCTTTTTGCCTTTTCCCCATATTTTTACTGCTTGTCTTTTATAATTTATCTGTAGGTGTTTTGTTACACATTTGATAACAATGATGTAGATGGCAAGTATCTTTTTTCACTCTTTGGTTCAAATTTTCACTCTCTAAAATGAATTGACCACTAATTTTAATACAGTTGAAATAATATTTTTCTTAATGAATTAATGTTTTGTGGTCTGTTGAAGAAAATTTTACTTACGCCAATATGAAAAAAAATTCTCCTTTAATATCAAAGTTTTCCTTACTCATTTATGTTTTAATTAATCTAGAATTGATTTTTGTACAGAGTGCCAGTACAGATACAATTTCGTTTTGAATAGAGAGTCACTCTAATATTTTATTTATTTTTTTAATTTTAGAGTCGGGGACTTGTTCTTTCACCTAGGCTGGAGCACAGTGGCGTGATCATAGCTCACTGTAGCCTCAAATTTCTGGGCTCAATTGATCTCTCCGCCCAGCTTCCTGAGTAGCTACAACTACAGGCCCATGCCATCATACTCAGCTACTTAAAAAAAAATTGTTTTTTAAAGGTAGGGTCTCACTATGTCGCTCAGACTGGTCTCAAACTCCTGGTGTCAAGCAATCTTCCCCACTCAGCCTCCTGAGTAGCTGGGATTACAAGCTCAAATCACCTTGCCTGGTTCATTCTGATATATTTTTAAAATATCCTTCCTTTTTAGAGGAACAATACACACTGGGGCCTATCAGGGGCTCAGAAGCAAGGGGAGAGAGAGCATTAGGACAAATACATAATTAATGCAGGACTTAAAACCTAGATGACAGATTGATAGGTGCAGGAAACCACCATGGCACATGTATACCTATGTAACAAACCTGCACATTCTGCATGTGTATCCTGGAACTTAAATAAAATAAAATAAAAATAAAAAAGTGAATAAATAAAAAATATTATTCCTTTCTCCCCTTATCTGTAATGTATGGCTAGTCATCTATCAAGTTTGTAAAAGTGTGTGAGTCTGTATATGGCTTATATTGATCTTTATGTTTATTGCTGCACTAATCACAATGCTTTAGTATGTAAGCCATTATGATTATTTTGATATCTGTTAGAGCAACCCCCTTAACATGTTCTTCTTTTCATTAAATATATTTGTTTTTCATGGCACTTTCCATTTATATATTAACATTGACAATCAACTGGTAAGTTTTATTTAAAAATACTGTTGAAAATCTGTAATTTTCCTTATAGTCTTTAAGAATGTCTGTTAATATTAATTCTTGATTTTCAGCATTTACTTTCAATACATACATATGTTAAGTATTTTCCCACATAAATACTTGCTCTGTTCTTAAAAAAATGTTCAAACTGAAGACTTACATATTTCTTTAATTTTAGGAAATTCTTTGCTTATATTTCAAATAGTTTTCTCCAGCATGTGTTCCATTTTGTTCTTCTGAGATTTGTTAGATAAAATTTGTATCTCCTTAATATAAACATCACATCAAAGACCATACATCTTATAATGGATTAATATCCAAAATATATAAAGAACTCAAACAACTCAATAGTAAGAAAACAAATAACCTGATTAGAAAATGGGCAAAGGTCCCAAACAGACATTTCTTAAAAGAAGAAATCCAAATGGCCAACAGGTACATGAAAAAAATGCCCAGTATCAGGCCAGGCGCAGTGGCTCACACCTTTAATCCCAGCACTTTGGGAGGCCAAGGCGGGTGAATCACGAGGTCAGGAGATGGAGACTGTCCTGGCCAACATGATGAAACCTCTTCTCTACTAAAAATACAAAAATTAGCTGGGTTTGGTGGCGCATGCCTGTAGACCCAGCTACTTGGTAGGCTGAGGCAGGAGAATCGCTTCAACCCATGGGTGGAAGTTGCAGTGAGTCAAGATTGTGCCACTACACTCCAGCCTGGCGACAGAGCGAGATCCCGTCTCAAGAAAAAAAAAAAAAAAAAAAGCCCAGCATCACTAATCATTAAGAACATACCAATCAAAACCACAATGGGATATCACCTCACACCCATTAGAATGGTTTCTATAAAAAAGATGAAAGGTAACTCCTGGCGAGGATGTGGAAAAATGGGAACGCTTGTAGCTGTTGGTGGAAATGTAAATTAGTGCACTTATTATGCAAAACGGTATGAAAGTTCCTCTGAAAACTAATGTAAACTATCATATCATTTAGTAATTTCATTTCTGGTATATATTCAAAGGCATTGAAATCAATATGTTGAAGGGGTATCTGCACTTCTATGTCCACTGCAGCATTATTCACAATAGGTAAGAAATGAAAAGAAACTAAGTGTCCATCAAAAGATGAATGGCTAAAGCAAATGTGGTATGTATACACAGTGAAATAGTATTCACCCTTTAAAAAGAAGAAAATCCTGCTATTTATGTCAAAATGGATGAACCTAGGGGACATTATATCAAGTGAAATAAGCCACACACAGAAAGAAAAATAACACACGATCTTACTTGTATGTGGAATCTAAGAAAGTTTATCCAATAGGAGTAGTGGATAGAATGATAACCAGAGGCTGGGGAAAGAGAGGAAAGGAATAGAAAGTTGTTGACCAAATGGTATAAAGTGAAGATCGACAGGAAGAATAAGTTATGAAATTTTTTTCACAGCAGGATGACTATGGTCAAAAACAATGTATTGTATATTTCAAAATAAGAGAGTAACTTTCAAATGTCTCATCATAAAAAAGATAGGTAAATAAGGTGATGGATACGTTAATGGCTTGATTTAATCATTCTACATTGTATACATGTATCAAAATATTACACTGTACCCCTTAAATGTATATAGTTATAATTTGTAAATTTAAAATATTAATTCAAAAATATAAGCACCATGTTCAAGATGGTTTGTTTCCTAAATATCTGAAACATTTTTGGGTTTTCTGCACTGCCTTCTCATTGAATTGTTAAGAACTATTTTCAAGTTTATCAGTTTATTCCCTGTCTTATTCTGGTATAGCATTTGTCATATTAATTGCAGTTTTATTTTTTAATTACATTTTTTATTTCTAAAATATTTGCCACTTTATTTATTACACCCAATTATTGTCATTTCAGTTTTTTTCCCACAATTATTTTCTTATTTTTTCCTGGAAATACCTTTATTACCATTTAATACATTCATATCATGTGTATTTTAATGTTTTATAAAATAAATTTTATCTTAATGTTATGACATCATATTTTAATTTTATCATTAAATTTTTTCACATATGAAATTTTACACTGAGGGTTTATTTTTGTTACAAGTTAATTTTCCTATTCTTTCATTCTTCTTCTCTTAATTTTTTTTTTTTTTTTAGTTTTTCCTATAAAATCTTCTGGGACTCAAACCCATAAACATGCCTGATAATAGTATCAGTCAGGATAAATCTCTAAGAATTTTGGGGAACAGCATCTTCATGGAGTTAAAAATTAGTCGCAATGTTGTTAAGACATTAAAATTAGGTAAATAGTAAAAGTCACAATATTGAGAAAAACTATATAAATGTAAATATTCTGTATTCAGGAAATAAAATATAATGCATAACAAGATATAATCAAAAAGCATAATTTACCAAATTTTGTTCATAATTTTTTTCTCCTTGGATATATGTGTAGGTTTGTTACCTGGGTATACTGTGTGATGCTGAGGTTTGAAGTACAAATGATCCTGTCACCCACATACTGAGCATAGTACCCAACAGTTTTTCAACCTTTACCACACTCTCCCCCAACCTAGGAGTCCCCACTATCTACTGCTGCCATCTTATTTCCGTGAGTACCCAGTGTTTAGCTCCCACTTATAACTGAGAACTTGCAGTATTTGGTATTCTGTTCTTGCATTAATTCACTTAGGATAATGACCTCCAGCTCCATCTAAGTTGCTTCAAAAGACATGATTTCATTCTTTTCATGGCTACGTGGTGTTTCCTGGTATATATGTAACACATTTTCTTTATCCAATCCTTCAGACATACGTATTCGTATGTTCATTGCAGCGCTATTCACAACAGCAAAGATGTGAAATCAAGCTGGTGATGAGCTTCCTTGAAGATAACAGCAATAAACTTTGTACAAATTATAAAAAATTAACTATTTAAAGAAATGGGAGGGGGGAAAATACAGAAAATAAAGGATTTAACATAAGGCAAGTAAACTGAGTGAATTTAACATTTAGACTGCTTTTCCATCAAAGTTTTCTCTTTGGTACATACAGTGCAGGTCATTTAGAACTCAGGCAGAAATCATCGGTCTTCTGGCCTGAGGTATCAGAGGATGGAGTTCACGTCTATATGAAAATTTACATCTCGTATGAATATATACAGAAAACCCCTCAAAACTACTTGCAATAATAATCCAGCAACACATTGAAAGGGATATATATTATGATCAAGTGAGATTTGTACCAGCAATACAAGGTTGGTTTAACATTTAAAAGTCATGTATTATAATGCACTTAATAGACATAATGTGGTATATTAGTATATAAAATAAAAGACAAAACCCACATGATCATCACAATAGACACAGAAAAAGCAATTAAAATATCAATCATATTCTACTCATTAGAGAAATGCTAATCAAAACCACAATGAGTTATCATCTTATGCCAGGTAGAATGGCAATCATTAAAAGTCAGGAAACAACAGATGCTGGAGAGGACGTGGAGAAATAGGAATGCTTTTACACTGTTGGTGGGAGTGTAAATTAGTTCAACCATTGTAGAAGACAGTGTGGCAATTCCTCAAGGATCTAGAACTAGAAGTACCATTTGACACAGCAATCCCATTACTGGGTATATAGCCAAAGGATTATAAATAATTCTACTATAAAGACACATGCACACGTATGTTTATTGCAGGACTATTCATAATAGCAAAGACTTGGAACCAGTCCAAATGCCCATCAATGACAGACTCAATAAAGAAAATGTGACACATATACACCATGGAATACTACGCAGCCATAAAAACAGGATGAGTTCGTGTCCTTTGCAGGGACATGGATGAAACTGGAAACCATCATTCTCAGCAAACTAACACAGGAACAGAAAACCAAACACCATGTGTTCTCAATCATAAGTGGGAGCTAACAGTGAGAACACATGGACACAGGGAGGGGAACATCACACAATGGGGTCTGTCGCAGAGTGGAGGACTAGGGGAGGGATAGCATTAGGAGAAATGCCTAATGTAGATAATGGGTTGATGGGTGCAGCAGACCACCATGGCACGTGTATACCTATGTAACAAACCTGCACATTCTGCACATGTATCCCAGAATTTAAAGTATAATAAAAAAAACACTCAACAAATTCTTAATAGATGTAAATCACCTTAACTTGATAAAATACATCTATAAATAACCCACAGGTAGCATCACATCTAATGACAAAAGATTAGGTGCCTTCTCCATAAGATCAGAACTAAGACAAGGATTTCCACTTATGTCACCATATTCAACATTGTCCAAGAGGTTCTAGCCAGGTTAATAAGGCAAGAAATTATACCATGTTCATGGATGAGGAAGCTAAATATTCTTAGCATGTAAATTTGTTCCAAATTGATCTATAGGTTTAATGAAGCACCAACTAAAATTTGATCCATATTCTTCTTTAGAAATTGACTAGTTGATTACAATATTTATATGGAAAGGCAAAAAACTGAAATATTCAAATCAATTTTTGTTAAAACAATTTGAAAGAGCTAGATGAGTACACTATCTGATTTTAAGACTTACTATAAAATAAAATTTATCAACACAGAGTAATTCTGACAGTAAAATATAGACAAATAGTACAATGTAGTTGAATAGTTAGGCCAGACTTAAACCATCTACATATTACTTTATTTTTGTCAAAGATAACCAAGTAATTTAGTCAGGAAAGTATTGTACTTTCACAAAAAGTTAGAACAACTAGATATCTATATTGAAAAAAATTAAAAATAAAAACCTGAACTACTAAATATAATGCAAATAATTCTAAATTTGATCACCGACTTAATTATAAAATCTAAATATATATAATTTCTATGGAAAAATATAAACGTATTTCTTCATTATCTTGGGTTGGGCAAAGACATTTTTGGAGAAGATACTAGAAAAAGAAGAATCATAAATAGTACATCACATAGAATGAAATCAATATATCTAAATGCATTAACAAATATAAGTCAATACATTTAACTCATTAATACTAAAATATTTTACTCATTTAAAATGTACTATTTATAAACTATATTTCAAAATGTTTTAAAAAGTCTTTAAAATATGTACCAAAAATAGCATGGGGTAAAATATTTAGAATACATATATCTGTAAGTGACTTGTGTACTTACAGAAGCATGGGGTAAAATATTTAGAAATTTAGAATTTAGAATTTAAAATAGCATGGGGTAAAATATTTAGAATACATATATCTGTAAGTGACTTGTATATATATATATCTCAATCATTTTAAGATAATCACCTCAATAAAAATGGTCAAAATACTTGAACAGAAACATCAAAAGGGAGATATATGCATGTGCACTAAGCATGTAAAAATGCTTTGCAGCATTAATTATAATAGAAATGCAAATTAAGACTACAATGAGATACTATTTCACACACACAGAGTAACAATTTTAGAATATCAAATGAGTGTCAATTTATGGAGCAATTTAAACTCTCATGCATTGGTTATGAATGTTTAAATTGGTCCAACCAGTTTTGAAAACTCTTTGGCAGTTTCTTATAAATGTAAACATACACTTATCAAATTATGCATGGATTAGTTACCTATATATTTATCAAAAATAAATATAACCTTTTCCAGAAAAGGACTTGCACACTCATAATCATGTGTATATTCATATTCATAAGGAAACTACCACTCTTCTTTCAAGAATCAGAATAAATCAAAATATTTATAATATGTATGCTAACGAAATTAAAACCTAAGAAATTCCAGTGTGTGAAAAATGCACATTTTTATTAGAATGCATGTGATAGCAGAAATACCAAAGGAAATGTACACAATAAATATCTAATCAGTAAGATTATTTAAAACACTTCAGATAATTATTGTAGAAAATGGAAATTGAAACTTTATAAACTATTCAGAAAATTTTAAGTAAACATAATATTACATATTAAAACAAATGGATTAACGGTAGTCTGGCCCTCAGAGCCTCCACTCACAGAAGAAGGAATGTGCACCACACCAAGGGAATACCCCGTGGGACAAAATAAACCAGAGTAAAGGCCTTGAGTCCCAAATCTCTCTGCTTGTGGGAAGCCTCTTTCAGCAGAGGCACTAATACAATGCTAGGCTCAGTGGGGAAAAAATGTGGTTCTTCCCTAGCTGTCAGGCAGCCGTGGTGCTTGTGAAAGGACTTGGAGAAGGGTAGTTCTTCTGCTCTTAACCCACCACTGCAGACACAGCTGGGGTTTCTCCCACAGGAGCTCACTGTGGGTGCAACTGTGGGTGCAACTGTGGGTGCAACTGTGGGTGTAGACAGCCTTTCTGGAGCACTGTAAGTTGACCGTATCCCTACAGGAGGAGTGTCCTCTGAGCTCATTTTGTAGGAATGATAGAGTCACAATCTCTACATGAAACATCTTCATTTTTGCATATGGAATGAGGTGCTTGTCTTATCTGAATAGTTGGAACACTGGACCAATTAAACGAAATGTTGATTATCTAATTAGAGCCCGAGACCGGGCGCAATGACTCATGCCTGTAATCCCAGCACTTTGGGAGGCCAAAGCAGGTGGTTCACTTGAGCCCAGGAGTTCAAAACCAGCCTGAACTACATGGCAAAACTGTGTCTCTACTAAAAATACAAAAAATGAGGTAGGAGTATCACCTGCGCCTGGGGAGGTCAAGGCTGCAGTGAGTTGTGATTGCACCACTGCACTCCAGCCTGAGTGACAGAGTGGCACCCATCTCAAAAAAAATTATACTGAAGAATAAAAAAAAAGGAGCCTGAATAGCCAAAGCAATGTTAAGCAAAAAGAACAAAGCCAGAGACATCACATTGCTCAACTTGAAATTATACTATAAGGCTATAGTATTGAAAATAGCATAATAGTGGTACAAAAACAGACACACAGACCAGTGGAACAGTATAGAGAAGGCAGATGTAAACATGCACAACTACAACCATCTGATCATTAACAAAATCAACAAAAATAAGCAATAGGGAAAAGACTCTCTATTCAATAAATGGTGTTGGGATAACTGGCTAGCTGTATGTGGAAGAATGAAACTGGACCCCTACCTCTTACCATATATGAAAATGAACTCCAGATGGATTACAGAGTTAAATGTAAGCCCTCAAATTATAAAAATTTTAGAGTAAATCCTAGGAAATACCCTTTTCAACATATGATTTGGCAAAGAATTTATGGTGAAGTCCCCAAAAGCAATGGCAAAAAAACCCTAAAATTAACAAGTGGGACCTAATTAAAATAAAAAGCATCTACTCAGCAAAAGAAACTACCAACAGAGTAAACAGCCTACAGAATGGAAGAAAATCTTTACAAAGTATACATCTGACAAAGGTCTAATGTCCAGAAACTACAAGGAACTTAAACAAATGAACAAATAATAAAGTAATAATTAAATTAAAAATAGGCAAAGGGCATGAACAGCAAAGGAATACATAAAAGCAGTCAACAAACATGAAAATATGCTCAACATAACTAATCATTAAATAAATGTAACTCAAAACCACAATGAGATACCACTGCACACCAGTCAGAATGGCTATTACTCAAAGGTCAGAAAACAACAGATGTGGATGAGGTTGAGGAGAAAAGGAAATGCTTATAATCTGTTGGTGGGAGTGCAAACTAGTTCAGCAACTGTGTAAAGCAGTTTGGGTATTTCTCAAAGATCTTCAAATAGAACTACCATTTGGCCCAGGAATTCCACTACTGAGTAATGAAAATAATTTCTGATTGGCACGGTCTGAAGAACCATCTGTTGGTTACTATGCTTATGAACTGGGTGATGGGACCATTGGAATCCCAAACCTTAGTATCATATAATTTACCCATGTAATAACCTACAAATGTATACTTTAAGCTATAATAAAAATTGAAAAAAGTGGTTTTTGAAAAGATAAAATTGATAGACCATTAGCTAGAGTAACAAAGAACAGAAGAGATAAGATCCAAATAATCTCAATCAGAAATGAAAATAGAGACATTACAACAGAAATACAAAAGATCATTTGAGACTACTATGAACACCTCTATGCACACAAAGTAGAAAATCTAGAGGTAATGGATAAATTCCTGGAAACATACAACACCCAAAGCTTCAATCAGGAAGAAACTGAAATTCTAAACAGACCAGTAACAGGTAGTGAGATTGAATCACTAATAAAAAAAAATTCCAGCAAAAAAGGTGTATTAGTCAGGATTCTCTAGAGGGACAGGACTACCAGGATAGGTGTATATATGAAAGGGAGTTTATTAAGGAGTCTTGGCTCACATGATCACAAGGTGAAGTCCTACAATAGGCTGTCTGCTTTTGTTGCCATTGCTTTTGGCGTTTTAGACATGAAGTCCTTGCCCATGCCTATGTCCTGAATGGTATTGCCTAGGATCTAATTAAACTAAAGGGCTTCTGCACAGCAAAAGAAACTACCATCAGAGATCTAATTAAACTAAAGAGCTTCTGCACAGCAAAAGAAACTACCATCAGAGTGAACAGGCAACCTACAGAATGGGAGAAAATTTTTGCAACCTACTCATCTGACAAAGGGCTAATATCAAGAATCTACAAGGAACTCAAACAAATTTACAAGAAAAAAACAAACAACCCCATCAAAAAGTGGGCAAAGGATATGAACAGACACTTCTCAAAGGAAGACATTTATGCAGCCAAAACACATGAAAAAATGCTCATCATCACTGGTCATCAGAGAAATGCAAATCAAAACCACAATGAGATACCATCTCACACCAGTTAGAATGGCCATCATTAAAAAGTCAGGAAACAACAGGTGCTGGAGAGGATGTGGAGAAATAGGAACACTTTTATGCTGTTGGTGGGACTGTAAACTAGTTCAACCACTGTGGAAGTCAGTGTGGCGATTCCTCAGGGATCTAGAATGAGAAATTCCATTTGACCCAGCCATCCCATTACTGGGTATATACTCAAAGGATTATAAATCATGCTGCTCTAAAGACACATGCACACATATGTTTATTGCAGCACTATTCACAATAGCAAAGACTTGGAACCAACTCAAATGTCCAACAATGATAGACTAGATTAAGAAAATGTGGCACATATACACCATGGAATACTATGCAGCCATAAAAAAGGATGAGTTCATGTCCTTTGTAGGGACATGGATGAAGCTGGAAACCATCATTCTTAGCAAACTATCACAAGGACAAAAAACCAAACACTGCATGTTCTCACTCATAGGTGGGAATTGTACAATGAGAACACATGGACACAGGAAGGGGAACATCACACACCGGGGCCTGTTGTGGGGTGGGGGGAGGGGGGAGGGATAGCATTAGGAGATATACCTAATGCTAAATGACAAGTTAATGGGTGCAGCACACCAACACGGCACATGTATACATATGTAACAAACTTGCACATTGTGCACATGTACCCTAGAACTTAAAGTATAATTATAACAATAAACAGAAAAATAGGCTGTCTGCAAGCTGAGGAACAAGGAAGCCAGTCCTAGTTCCAAAGTCTCAAAAGTAGGGAAGCCGACAGTGCAGCCTTCAGTCTGTGGTCAAAGGCCTGAGAGCCTCTGGCAAACCACTGGTGTAAGTCCAAGAGTCCAAAATCTGAAGAACTTGGAGTTTGAAGTTCAAGGGCAGGAACATCCAACATGGGAGAAACATGGAAGCCGGAAGACTCAGGCCAGTCTAGTCTTTCCATGAGCCTCTGCCTGCTTTTATCCTAGCTGCACTGACAGCTGATTGGATGGTGCCTACCCAGATTGAGGATGGGTCTGCCTCTCCTAGTCCACTGACTCAAATGTTAATCTCCTTTAGTAACAGCCTCACAGATGCACCCAGGAAGAATACTTTGCATCTTTCAATCCAGTCAAATTAACATTCAATATTAACCATAACAAAAGCCCAGGACCAGATGTACTCACAGCCAAATTCTAGCAGACATTCAAAGAAGAATTGGCACCAATCATACCGAAACTATTCCAAAAGACTGAAAAAATAGAAATCCTCTCTAACTCATTCTACAAAGCCAGGAAAGGGCATAACAAAAAAGAAAACTACACACCAATATCCCTGGATAAATAACAATGCACATATTCTTAACAAAATGCTATCAATCTGATCCAATAGCACATCAAAAAGATAATTAATATGATCAAATGGGGCTTATCTAAGGGATGCAAGGATAGTTTAACATATACTAGTAAATAAATCTGCTTTGCCACATAAACAGAATGAAAAACAAAGCCATATGATTGTCTCAGTAGATGCAGAAAAAGCATTTAATAAAATCGGCATTGATTTATGATAAAAATGTCAACAAACTAGGCATAGAAGGAACATACCAGAGCAATAAGGCAAGAGAAAGATAAAGGGCATCCATATTGAAAAAGAGGAAGTCAAACTATCTCTGCCAATAATATGATCTTATACCTAAAAACCATTAAGACTCTTTGAAAAGACTCCTAGATTTGATTAATGGATTTAGTAAAGTCTCAGGTTACAAATCAACATACACAAATCAGCAGCACTGCTGTACACCAATAACAACCAAGCTGAGAATCAAATCAAGAACTCAATCCCATTTACAATAGCTGTAACAACAACAACAAAACACCTAGGAATATGCTTAACCAAGTAGGTAAAAAATATTTTCAAGAACTACAAAACACTGATGAAAGAAATCACAGATGACACAACCATATGGAAAATGACCTTACTGCCCAAAGTAATCAACAGACTAAATGCAATTGCTATCCAAATACCAATGTCATTTCTCACAGAATTAGAAAAAGTAATCCTGAAATTCACATGGAACAAGAAAAGTCCAAATAGCCCAAACAATCCTAAGTAAAAAGAACAAATCAGAAACCATCACATCATCTAACTTCAAATCATAAGACAAGGCTATATTAACCAAAACAGCATGGTACTAGTATAAAAGTTAGACCTATAGACCAATGGAAAAGAATAGAGAGCCCAGAAATAAAGCTGAATTCTGAAAACCAACTGATCTCCAACAAAGCAGGCAACTACACTGGGGAAAAGACACCCTATTCAATAAATGATCCTGGGAAAATTGGATGGCCATATTTAGAAGAATAAAACTATCTTCTAATATCACTTCTGATATCACTATCACTCATCATATACAAAAAATTAACTCAAGATGGATTAAAGACTTAAATTTAAAACCTGAAACCATCAAAATTCTAGAAGAAACTCTAGGGATAACTCTTCTGGGCATTCTAGTGAAGAATTTATGACTAAGACTCCAAAGCAAAGGCAACAAAAACAAAAATAAATAAATGAGATCTAATTAAACTGGAAAGTTTCTGCAGAGAAAAAGAAATGATCACCATAGTAAACAATCTAGAGAATCAGAGAAAATATTTGCAAACTATCCATCCAAAAAAGGACTAATATCCAGAATCTACAAGGTACTCAAAGAAATCAGCAAAAACAAAACAAATAATCCCAATAAAAAGTGGACAAATGATATAAATGACATTTCTTAAAAGAAGATATACAAATGGGCAAAAAAAATGAAAAAAAAGCTCAAGGTCACTAATCTTTGGGGAAATGCAAATTAAAACCACAATGAGATACCTCCTTGTACCAATCAGAATGACTATTATTTAAATGTCAAAAACCAACAGATTTGGCAAAGAAGTGATGAAAAGGGAAGGCTTATACACTGCTGGTGGAAATATAAATTGGTACAATCTCTATAGAAAACAGTATGAAGATTTCTCAAAGAACTAAAAGTAGATAAATCTACCATTCAATTGAGCAATCCCACTGCTGAGTGTGTCTACCCAAAGGAAGTCATTATATCAAGAAGCACCTGCAAGTGTATGTTTATAGCAGCACAATCCACAACTGCAAAGATATGAAATCAACCTAAGTGTCCTATGGTATGTGTGTGTGTATATATATACACACACACACATATATACATACATAA
Source organism: Homo sapiens (assembly GCF_000001405.40). Classification (NCBI taxonomy): domain Eukaryota; kingdom Metazoa; phylum Chordata; class Mammalia; order Primates; family Hominidae; genus Homo; species Homo sapiens. Next base: position 103,532,550 of record NC_000002.12, on the reverse strand, counting down.
CATAGAATAGTAATCAGCCACAAAAAAAGTATGAAATAATGACAATGTCTTTTCCAGCAACTTGGATAGAACTGAAGGCCATTATCCTAAGTATAGTAACCCAGGAATGGAAATGTTTTTCCATTCTACATGTTATTATTTATAAATGGAAACGAAGTTATGGGTATGAAAAGGCACACAGAATGGTTTTACGGACATTGGAGATTCAGAAGTGGGGAGGGTGGGAAGGAAGTGAAGGATGAAAAATTAATTATTGAATACAATGTACATTGTTCAGTGATGGGTACACCAAAAGCCCAGACTTCACCGCTATGGAATTCATTCATGTAACCAAAAATCACTTTACCCCTATAGCTAATGAAATTTATGAACTCAAACAAATTAACAAGAAAAAAACAACCCCATCAAAAAGTGGGCAAAGGATATGAACAGACACTTGTTAAAAGAAGACATTTATGCAGCCAACAGACACACGAAAAAATGCTCATCATCACTGGCCATCAGAGAAATGCAAATCAAAACCACAATGAGATACCATCTCACACCAGTTAGAATGGCGGTCCAGGCATGAGTCGCTACAGTATTAAAAAAAAAGAAAATCAGTGGCTTCCTGGAGGACCACAGAAGGATATTACAAAAGGACATAATAAAAATATACAGGTGAGATATGCTCATTATCATTAATGTGATGGTATTATGGGTTTACAAGTGTCAAAACTTATCATCAAATTGAGTGGCCGGGCTTGGTGGCTCACTCCTGTAATCCCAGCACTTTGGGAGGCCGAGGCGGGCAGATCACGAGGTCAGGAGATCGAGATCTTCCTGTCTAACACGGTGAAACCTCGTCTCTACTAAAAAATACAAAAAAATTAGCTGGGCGTGGTGGCAGGCGCCTATAGTCCCAGCTACTCGAGAGGCTGAGGCAGGAGAATGGCGTGAACCCGGGAGGCGGAGCTTGCAGTGAGCCGAGATCGCGCTACTGCACTCCAGGCTGGGCGACAGAGCGAGACTCCGTCTCAAAAAAAAAAAAAAAAAGGTATCAAATTGAACACTTTAAGTATGTACAATTCTGCATGTCAATTACATCTTAATAAAACTTTTAAAAATAGTTCCAAATAACAATCTAAATAATCCATTCTGCAGAAAATCAGATGTGGCAACGCCATATTGACATCAACATCTAACTCCCTGCACCTTGAGGACAGCCTTGTCTCAGCAGCAGGAAATACAGGGGAACAATGGCGGCCATTTCCACTTGGGTTCAGAGGATTGCTGGCTAGATCACAAAAGGCACATTCCTAACTATAGGATTTCCTTGTCTTCATCCTTCCTTTATTGCCTGTGCAGCAATAGCCTGGAGTAAACAGGCAAGAGGAGCTACAGGAATCTATAAAACCCTTAGATTTTTTTCTCTGACAATGACTTCAGCTAAACAAGACACACAGTTTTAGAGTTGCTGAGTTCGGGGTACACACTGATTTTGCAGAGTCACAGTCACCAGATATTAGTGGGGGCATCTAGAAGATCTAGAACCTACCACGTTGTCTGCTACCATCTCCTCCACTCCCTATTATCAACCCAATGTCTCTGCACCAATTAGGGACGCCTTGATTCCTCTAGTTTTAAAACTAGTGACACTAGGTAGTGAATGCTTATAATTTTATGTTGCTTCAGCATCCAATTTTAAATATCAGTTTAACTTACTTATACCAGAAACAGGGCTCAGTCACCCTTGAGGCAGTTTCCAATACTCTACCCCACCCAGGTGGCTCCATGAAGTAGGTGAGCAGAGATAAATATTTTTCCTGCATAGCAAGCTGGGTTCCCTACTTTCCCACCCCCTCCCTTAATAGACCATTCAGACATTTGGCAGTGCACTTAAAATGACCACATCTCAGTCACAGCATGACTTCCTAGAATGAGTGCCTGCTTGCTTTAAACCCACCAATTAAAGCTCCCCAGGAGAAACCTGTTTGTTTAATGCCCAGAACTCACTGAAGGTATTGGTCCACAGAACCCCTCTCTCCCCTGCTGCCTAGGCTCCCTGACTTCTGTGTGTGTGTGGCCTCCAAGTATCCTGTGTACCCCCTAGGTCTATAATAGTAAACACTCTTAAATTTTCACATTGTGATTGTGTCATTGAAACTGTGCCCTCAGTCCTGTCCCTGATCCCCCGAAGGGACTCATTCAGGTGGATCATATGCTGGTGCTCTTTTGTCCTAGCCTCTCAGCTGCTGAGGGCAGTAGCACCAGCAGAGTTGATAATGAAAGTCAAAGAGTTTCATCCAAAGCACACTAGCCTACTGAATTCTGGGTTTCAGGGCACATTGCTCCTTTGCAGAAGCAGAGTAAGGGATTCCCCAACATTACTGGGAATTATGTGATATTCCCTATGAACAAGAAAAAAATCTTGCTGTCTCCAGAAGCACTGGAGTTGTCACAATTGCCCTCTGCTCAGATTGACTTCTGAGCCTGCGGAACTCGGGTATCCAGGCAAAAAATCAGGACTACAAAGCTCTGCAGTCTTTTCCAGGAGGCCCTGGCAACCATGTAAACTAGGCCAAAGCTGGAGCAAAGGCTATACTCTGCTATCATATTGTCCCCTTTGAGGCACACAGAGTTTGAATCATTACAAAAGTTATTTGTCTTTCCAAGCTGGCAGTCGTACTATGCTTTTAAACTACCCCGCAGTGAATAGAATTTCAAAGATTAAAGATACTTTTAAAAAAGTCTCTATTATTGCACAAATCAGTGCAATGTACAGTGGGCAGTTCCTGATTTGGTGATGTGGAAGCTGAAAAATATCACAAACATCACCAGAGACCAAACAACATTCTTCTCTGCAAACTGCCAGGAGAACACAGGTCCTCTGGGCCAAAACTGGGTTAGGTCCATGCCCTAAATAGTCAGAGAGAAGGGAATGAGAACCCCCTAAGTGCTCAGGCTACTCATGATTTCCTCCAACAAATGGAAGAGCACAAAAGACTGCTTCCCTGAGCACACTGGGGTGGTGACTGATGTATACCATGTGGATCTGCCAGGTGGTAGATATGAAATGGCTTTAGCCTCAGAAACTGGCAGTGACATAAATCTGACAAGATCCTGGAGCAGGTGTGGAAAGTATATAGCTACACATGGTTCTCACATACCTCAAATGTATGGGGAATCCGTGAATGTTTGTATATATGAGATTCACTTCAGGCAGATGGCTTCTCACAGAGACTTGCCCCCACTGTTATCATATTGACAAGAAAAAAAGCACATTCCCTGCATATCTAAGGACTTTCTCCTATATGAACTCTGAAGTGTTAAATGAGGTCAGATTTGCAGCAAAAGTATTTCCCATATTCATTGCAAATGAACCCTTCTGTATCAAAAGAGACCAGAGCTTTGGCTAAAGGATTTCCCATAATCACTGCATTCCATTGTGAACTCTTTGGTGTCGAACAAGGTGGGTTTTGAAACTAAATTATTTCCTGCTGAGCACAGTGGCTCATGCCTGTAATCCTAGCACTTTGGGAGGCTGAGGCAGGTGGATCACCTGAGGTCAGGGGTTTGAGACCAGCCTGGCCAACATGGTGAAACCCTATCTCTACTAAAAAATACAAAAACTAGCCTGGCATGGTGGCACATGCCTGTAATCCCAGCTACTTGGGAGGCTGAGGTGGGAGAATCACTTGAATCCAGGAGGCAGAGGTTGCAGTGAGCTGAGATCGTGCCACTGCACTCCAGCCTGGGCAACAGAGTGAGACTCCATCTCAAAAAAAAAAAAAAGAAAAAAAGAAACTAAATAATTTCCCACATTCACTGCATCCACACGAACTTGCTTTAGTGTGAGCCCTCCTGTTCTGAAAGAGGTCAGAGCTTTGGCAAAAGGATTTCCCATATTCACTTCACTCAAATGACCTTTCTCCACTGTGAACTCTTTGGTGTTAAATGAGGGCAGATTTTCCACCTTCAGTGTGCCTATAAGAGTTTGCTTCAGTGTGACCTCTCTAGTGTCTAATCAGGTGGGGTTTTTCAGCTAAAGAATTTCTCATGCACTACACTCAACTTCACTACCTTTCTTCCATGTTAATTCACTGGTGCTGAAAAAGTCCGTATTTGTAGCCAAAGGCTTTCCGACATTTGCTACACTCATCAAGACCTTGTCCAGTGCAGACTTTGTGGTAGTGAAGAATGCGACGGTGAAAAATTTCCTGCATTCACCCCACTTGTCATGATTTTTATCTACTGTTAAAGGGCTCCCCACCTTTGATGCTGTTGTGTGGCTTCTCATTTTTGGGAGTGGCATGGTGCTAGAGAAGGGCTGAGGGTGGCTGGAAAGTCCTACCCAACCTCCCCACAGGTGAAGCGCTTCCCTGACACATGAAATCTGCAGCTTGTTACAAGCAAGGACCCGGAGATGCCTATTTTAATGAGCTTCTCCCCATCATGTTTCTGGAGCTGGTGAAGGTTTCCACTGAACCAGAAGCTTCTGGAGCCCCCATCCAGGTAAGATTTCTGCTCAGAGTGTGTGGCTTAGAGCTTGACCAGGTGCAAAATGTCTTTCAAGACTGGGACACACATCTCACAGGGGTGACTCTTCTGGGTGGACCTGCCCTGGGTATCTTGACCAGTGACGCTCCTACAGAAACACTCTGCTGATCCTCTGTTACACCAACAACCAGGGGCAGGCCTCCTCTGAGAGTATCTTGATATGTCCACTCTGTGAAGCAACCAGGGCTAACTCCCAATCGCAGCTCTGCAACTACGTGGGACCTGCATGATACAAGCCCCAGGAATGCTCTAAGTGCAATGTTCTCCAGCATCACATCACCTTACAGGAGCCTCTCGGTCTCCTCAATGAGCTCCCACTCCTCTTGAGAAGAAAATGGCCATGTAACCATACTCAAAGGACACATAACCCTTTGGAGGATCTGTAAGCATTTCTATGCTAATGGTAAATATTTGGGAGGAGGGAAGTTCTGAGAGGCAGATGGCTATGGAGGGACTCACGGGCTCCCAATTACCCTGTTCCCTTGCTCAGCCCTCAAGCCGGGTGACCTGCAATGACCCTAAACATTATCTCTGGTTCTCAGTCCTTGCTGCTAACGTTTACCAGCCAGGATTAAATCCCTCTGTGCCTCCTAGTATTATCCCCCTTCCAGACTGTTCTTCTGAACAGCTTTTGTAAAACTTTTAAAAGCCTCATTCAGGCCATGTCTTCTGTTCACAGCCCTATGGCTTCCAGCATTCTGAAACATCCCAGTAGGCCAATCTAGGCTTGAAATTCTGTTCCCTGCACACACAAATTCAACCCCAAATTTCTCAAAGGCTCCTAGCTCAGTGGCACATCCAATCTTCATAACACTCTCCCACTATCCATCACACTAGAAATCAGAAATAGAGATAACATCACGAGTGTTTATTGTTCCAGACACTGGGGCCTGTGCAGCAGGGACATGAGCAGGAGCCCTTCCTGGGGCTTTAGGGTGTGAGTCGGGGGGTGGGGGCAATTGAGGGCCTGGAGAACAGGATCTTCACCTGAGCCGGGTCCCTCGGCACACTACCTTCTGGGAGTCTGTGGACCATCTGGGCAGGGACCCAGGCACGAAGGCCCCTAACCCAGGGTCAGACCTGCCTCTGTGCAGCGGAGACAATGCCTCTCCTCTCAAGCCTTTCGTCCAGTCACATCAGCCCCTACTTACCAATGGCAGCAGGCCCGAGACAAACCAAAATGCCCGCCACATGAAGGCCAGAAGTTCCTGCTTTGAGGTCTGTTAATTGCATAAATTTAAGTAACAGGCCTAGCCATATAAAGCAAACTGCTGAGAGTCACATAGCTGGAAAGTGATAGGGTCACTGTGCTCTAAGATCATGCTAACAGCAAGTATACTAAACGGGAGATAAATGAGCCTATGTATGTTTCACAATGCTGTGAAAAGCATATTGTGTTAAAAGAGGGCAGAAAGTTAATGAACAGTGATATTGTATTAGTTACAAGTGAGTTTGCCTGGGCAGGATCAAAAGCCCAATACAATAGCAACGTTCATTTCTCTCTTATCTAAGTGGCTGGGGGTTGCTGGTCATGAACTAGTGTCTGAGCCCGTTCATCTAGGTTGCTGTTACACCTTCTTCCACCTTAGCTTCCTAGTCCAAGATGGCGGCATTCACATTTCAAACAACAATATGGAAGAGGAGCTGCAGAACAGAACAAAGGGTCTACATAGACAGTGGTTTAAAAGGATTCCTGGGAGTTGCCTCAGAATATTTCTGACCAAAGTTATAAACCTCACAACTATTTGCAGAAGAAGTTATGAAAACAGTTCCTAGAATAGTCAGCGATGCACCAAGCTAAATTATATTCTACTCCAAAAGGAGGAGAGGGGTAATGCATAAATCAAAAGGGGAGACATGATGGGTAACAATCATTAGAAACCCCAAATGAATCCCTGAGGATTTAAGAGAACACACTTGCAAAGTCACCGTTTTCTCCATCACCAGTCTTTCACCTTTTCACTCAAATGTTTTGTAGGTTTTCAGAGGTAGTTGCATAATGGCATATGACTAATACAGTTTAACCAGATGTACACATGACCCTCAAGTGATAAACTCTTTGGCAGTAATTTGTCTTTCCTCTTTCCTTAGAATAGCTACTCTACTACTGAACAAAGATAAAGGGAATTGACAGCTTGTGAAAGTCATCTGTAGAGTTCATCACTTAGGGCAACAGCTATGTAAATGGAAGACATCTCATGGTTTTAAAGTAAATGAATTAAAAGTCAAGTTCAGACCTTCACGTTATGAAATACTCGTGCATTTTCATGGAAAATAAATCTCAATTACAAAGTAAACTTTTAAGTTGATTGCAGGAAAAAGAAGCATTTAAATCCAGTAGTGAATCAAAAACCAAAAAAAAATATTTTGGAAAAAAAGTTGGAGAAAAATGTTGATAGCTCAGCAATTACAAAATTGTTAGAGTACAGTTGAAAAGCTCTGTTTTATGCCATTTTGACTTCATGAGTGAAGCCCACTTAGACTAAAACAAGTTTGCAACTGAAAGCTGGCAAGGATTTTACAATAATCTTCCATTCTACAAGCAGCATTGTGCCTGGCATAATTTACCTGTTTTCATCTGAGGAAAAAATAAATAAAAAGAGGCACATTAAGATTTCTTTAATTCTGTCATTCCCATGAATTCCACATTTTAGGTCCACAAATTCCCTTTACTTGGTGATTCCAACAACAAATAGGACCAGCACCCTTATCTAAAGCACTGTGAGACAAAAAGCTCAAGGTATCTTTTTTTGCTTATTTCCAGTTTCCCAGATAATTCTTTATTCAATCAATGAAAAACATTTATGTGGTGCCTGCTCCCATTTGCTCATCATGTTAGAAGTTGGTCTAGTTGTAAACATGCAGAAGAAATAATTTCTTCTGGAATCTCACAATCTGGCAAGGGGAGACAAATGGAAATATTATTTTAAAACGGTAAGTGCTATGTTTAAAGTGAGATTTTAATACCAAGAATGGAAGGTGGGAAGAAATTTCATAGTAAATTATGAAAAGCTGTGCAGAAGAGGTAACGCTTGGGTGTGTTTAAAAAAGATTAGTAGGAATTCTTCAGCTGAATGAACATGAAAAGAACATTCTTTGCAAAGGGAATGACATGAAAAAGAGAAACATCTTTAGGAGGCATGGTTCATTGTAATGCATAACATAATTTTTCATTACTATAAATAAATCAGCATAGTGTTGTGTTTTAAAGCTCTGGCTGGAGCTTTGACTCTGACTCATGTTAATGCTGTGACTTTAATAGCAAGTAATTTTAGGGTCTCCAGATCACAGATTCTTCATGTATGTAAAGAGAGGTGAAAACATGGTCTAACTCATAATAAATTGTGAAAAGAAAATACTTCAATTTAGTATTATCCATTGCATATATTTTATTTGGGGTCCTTAAATTTAGCACCTCTGAAATTTATATGAAATGTTGATGCTTATGCCTTTACCCTGTTTTGTCCTTGTTTTACAATGGTATTCTCCTGTTCATAAGAATCTCTTTCATTTGGTCCTTGCATTTAAACCAGACTTGGTGGCTTTTTCTTTGGGTCACATTGTTCTTCATAACCTTGCCTATCTGACGTAAGTTTTCTTTAGGTATTCTGACATTGTTTGGCTGCCCATGTAATTGTTTGGTTCTTTTGAACAGGTGGTTTAGATGTAAAATATGTAGAAGTTGCTACAAAGGCTGTGGAAATTTGCTTGCTATCGTGGTCACCAGGAAATTTAATATGGATAGAACAGATTGAGAATCCCATTGTGCTGTACAATGCCTCTTAATATTGAAATCTGGGTTCTCAGTTTCTCTTTACATATTTTTTGGTTACACTTATTTTAAATTCAGCAGAGTCACAATAGAAAAAAATACAATTTGAGGTGGATTTCTAAAAGTTTTGTCTCTATGTGTTTTAGTGTTTAATTCCAATATCAGAGCACAAGTTATTCTATATAAAAGCATTACAGATAATTGGGTCTTAGTCTTTTAGGTACTTTTTTAAAGAAACAAAAGCACATAAGATTATAATAAAATAGTTTAATATAGTCTCCTAGAATCCTTATCATAGTGACAAACCCCACAGACAGCACCTTTTGGCTTCTGATTTTATGTCTCCTTGAAGTCACCTTTTTTATTCCTAATAATATACTTTTTTATATACATTTTAGATAGTATTTATTGACTCCTCAAAGAAAATATGAATAAATGACCTAACCTGTTTTCATTAACTCTTGTTTCTTTTCCCCCATATTTTAAACCTGTATTACCGTATTTATATCTCCTATTGATTATTTTTCTGATTAATTTATATGTAATTATCAAACAGTTCTATCAATGCCTAGTTGAACACAGTAGTGTCATGCCCAGTATGAAACAAATAATAATTACTTTATTTATACTTTCTTTTTCTTTCATGAATATCGCCTTTGCAATGCAACAGTTTGACCCTAATAAAGTCCTATAAGCAGCTTGGAATGAGACAACATTAAAGTTTCTCTTCACGGTGACAATATTTTTCTCTATGAAAATTTTACCCCAGTTTCTTTTCACTGAGTGTTTTTGTTCCATGAACTACAAAATCTTAAAATTACAGTGATACAGTCCTCTACTCTTGCTGTTGCAAAAGCCTGCCCACTTTTCCTCAGAGCTAAGTTATTTATTTCCAATTATCATCACTGCGGGGTTCTAGCTCCAGATTTAGAGACACTGTTTTCTTCTAGGTAGTCTGTACAAAACTGTGATGGCTTTTCTCCTTTTGACAGAATGCTAGATCCTTCATTTTAACTTATCAAGCTCTTTATAAAGGACTAAGTATAATGGAGGTAAATGTATACAGACAGTAACATATAGCCGTATCCCAGGTCTCCCAAAGAGCCTGATGCCAGACTGCCTCTTACCTTTCTTTACATCTGTCCCAAAACAGGAAATGGATGCTCATTTCCACATAACAAGTCCAAGAAGAAAATATTCTTTTCTTACTATAATATTATATATATGTATATATGTGTTTATATATATGTTATATATGTGTTATATATGTTATATGTTACATATATGTTATATATGTTATACATGTTACATGTATGTTATATATGTAACATATATGTTATATATATGTTATATATATATGACTCACCTTACCTTCTCTTTTTAAACAATCACATTGGAAAAATTATATGGAACAAATATTTGATTGCATACATTGGACACCAGACAAATCAAGACATTGGTCACTGAAAGAAGGAAAAAATGAATAAGATAAGCCCTTCAATTGCTGTAAGCTGGAGAGAATTTACAGACTACAGTGCAGAAGGGCAGAAACCAAAGAAAGCCTGAATGTATCTCTGAGTTGAGGAGACAGAGTAGAAAAGTTGGAAAGTTCAAGGCAGCTAGAAGTCACAGAGCCAAGTACTACAGAAGCAAGAGTTGCTCAGAGAGCTCTGGAGAGGTGAAGAGAGTTTTTTTCGAGTCTTCAGCTGAGTACTAATCAGTGCATGGGTGTGAGGAAACTATTCAGTAAAGAAAGGAAAACACCAAAATGGAGCAAGCTGAACAATCTAAGAAGATTATGTAGGATTTAGAATAGCTCATATTCCCATCAGCCAAAGTAGAAAAACCTTGTAATAGACAATGCACTGGGGATTCAGAAGACTATTGCCTCAGTAGTGAAGCAAAAATAGTCCTAGAATCAAGACCTATCTAATAAGGCATACAAATAAGCCTCAAAATAATAAACTGTTTCCAAGTAATTTGATAGTATTCCAAAACAAAAAACAAAAATATTTAAAGGAATACATATGTATCAATCACCAACACTGAAAAATCCACCGTCTACTGTCTAATCAAAAATTATAAGTCCTGCACAGAAGAAGGAAACTACAAACAAAAATCAATTATTAGAAACAAAAATTATATAGATAATAGAATTAGTAGACCTGGACACTAAAACAGTATTGTATGCATTGGCAAAATGCATAAAATACATTATGTCTGTGGATATAATGCATTGGCATAATATATGTTTTAAAAAGTGGGGGCAAGCGTGAACATGTTCAGGAGATATGTGAAAAATATAAAAAGAACCAAATCTAACTTTTAGAGATACAATAAACAATGTCTGAGATTTTAAAATTCCACTGAATCTTATTAAAGCCCTATTAGACCAGGTGTGGTAGTTCATGACTGTAATACCAGCACATTGGGAGGCTGAGGCAGGAGGATTGCTTGAGGGCAAGAATTTGAGCACCCTAGGCAACATAGTGAGACCTGCCTCTACAAAAAATAAAATATAAAATATAAAGAATAAAAGCATAGTAGACACTACAGAATAAGAAATACTTAAAATTAAGGACATATAAAAAGAAATTAATAGAAAATATCTAAAATAAAGCAAAGGGAGAAAAAACACTCATACTTTTTCAGTGGGCTACAGGACAGCTTAGAGTGACAAAATAAAAATTACTGAAGTTCTCAAAACAGAAAAGGGAGAGAGAAGGACAGACAAATATTTGAATAAATAATGGCCAAAAATATTAACCATTTCATAAAAATATGAGCTAATAGATTCAAGAATCTCAGAAAACATGAGTACAAAAAACATGAAAAGAACTACAGCATGACATATTGTACTTAAAGTTTTAAAAATAAATGATAAAAAAAATTAAGAGCAACCAGAAGAAAGAAGATAATAGTAAGAATGAGAGCAAGCTTTTCATCAGACACATTTCAAGCCAGAAGGTGACGAAGTAATATATTTAAAATACTGAAAAAAAAAGTCTGAAATCCTAGAATGCTATAATGAGGAATATATCTTTACAGATTCAAGAGTGAAAAAAAGACTTTTTCAGATACACAAAGCTGGGAAAATTCATCAACAGATCTGCACTACTAAAAATGTTAAAAGAACTTTGTTAGGCATAAGAAAAATAGTACAGATATCTACATCTACACAAAGAAATGAAGAACACAAAATATGTAGATAAATACATTTTTACAAAGTTATATACCTTTAAAAATATAATTGTCATAATTTATTATAAACTTTATATCTAACATTTTTTAAAAAGTGTTGTAATGAATAATACAAACGGGAAATACAATGGAATAATACAAAAATACTGAATTCATAAAAAGTCAGAAAAAGTAGTAAAATAGAACAGAACAAACATCAAATGAGAAAAATAGATAATAAATATTAATATGGCATTATATAAATCATTACAATAAATATAAGTGGTCTAAATAGCTCAATGAAAAAGGCAAATGCAATCCTAACTAGAAAAAATAAAGCCCACTTTAAATTAAGGAGAAAGACAGATTAAAAGTAAAAGGATGGGAAAAGATATGCAATGATATCAAACAGATAAAATTCTATAACACTGTAAGAGTAGTGAAGTGGCTATACACAAAGCAGATGTCAGAACAAAGCATATTATCAGGAAAAGAAGCAGTCATTTTATAATGATAAAGGGATAAATTCATCAAGACAACATTAATCACGAGTGTTTATGTAACTAATAACAGACTCTCAAAACACAAGATGAAAAACTAATAAAACTACAAGAAGAAATGACAAATCCAAATTTACACTCAGAAATTTTCATAGTATTTGCTCACAACAAGTAGAAGAAAATTAGTAAGGATATAGAGAATGTGAACATCACTAACACTTAGAGAACATTTCACCCAACAGTAACAGAATACACATTATTTCCATATGAACATAAAACATTCACCAAGATAGACCATATTCTGGGTTCTAAAATAAGTCTCGATAATTTAAAAGATTAAAAATATGCAAAGTGCATTGTCTAATCACAGCGGAATTAAATTGAAAGGTATCTGGAAAATACTAAATATTTGAAATCAAAAGAAACTTCTAAATAACACAAGGGTCAATTAAAAAATCAAATGGGAAATCAGAAGTATTTTGTCCTAAATGAAAAATGAAAACATAGCATATCAAAATTTGTGAGATGCAGCTAAAGCAATGATTAAAACTAATTTTATATTACTGAAGAATTATATTAGAGAAGAAAGGATGCAAATTGATTATCTAGGTTCTACCTTCAGAACTCAGGAAAAGAAATCAAACCAAAAGTTAGCAGAAGGCAAAGAGTAATCAAAATAAGAACAAAAAGAAATAACATAGACTACAAAAAAAATTTTAACTCATGGTGAACAAACAATGATTATTTGAAAAGATGAATAAAATTTATGACTTCTTACCAGATTGTTCAGGGAGAAAAAGAGAATCATAAATTACCCATATAAGAAATGAGAGAAGGTATATTTCTACAATTCTAGCAAAAGTGAAAAGGATAAGTGAATTATAAACAACTTTTTCCCAGTGAGTTTGAAAATATAGATTAAATGGACAAATTATATTAAAAAATCAATGGTCCTTTGAGGAGAAATAGGTACATTTAATAAACTTATTTTTTTTTAAAGAAATTGAATCTGTAGCTCAAAAATGCACAAAGGAAACTCCAGGCCAAGATGAATCTACTGATGAATTCTACAAAGCTATTGAGGAAAAAATAATGCCAATGGTAAACAAATGGTTCCAGAATATTGAAGAGGAGGGTATAGTTTCCACTCATTCTTATGAGGTCAACATTATCTGGATCTCTAAGTCAAAAATGTCAATTTTAAGAAAAGAAAGCCAAAACGAATATCATATATATATATATATATATATATGCAAAATTCTTAACAGAATTTTGTACATTGAATCCAGTAATATATGAAAAGAGAAATATCCATTGACCAAGTGTGATTTGTTCCAGGAATACAACAGTGATTTGATATCTAAAAATTAATAAATGTAATTAACCACATTAATCAATATTTAAAAATATTTACTATTCATGACAAAAACTCTTAGCAGAATAGAAAATTCTTATAGGGCATCTGAAAAAAATAAATGCAGTTAGTAGTAAACTTAATGAAGAAAGAATAAATGCTATTCCTGTGTTATCTGGAATACGGTAAGAATATCCATTCTCTCCACTTCTATTCAATATTGTTTTAGAGGTTCTTATTATTGAAATAAGAGGAGAAAAATAAAAGGCATGCTGAGGCATGCATAATGTCAATTTTAAGAAACAAGTAATGCAGTCTATCATTGTTGGACATTTGGGTTGGTTCCAAGTCTTTGCTATTGTGAATAGAGCTGCAATAAACATACGTGTGCATGTGTCTTTAAAGCAGCATGATTTATAATCCTTTGGGTATATACCCAGTAATGGGATAGCTGGGTCAAATGGTATTTCTAGTTCTAGATCCCTGAGGAATCGCCACACTGACTTCCACAGTGGTTGAACTAGTTTACAGTACCACCAACAGTGTAAAAGTGTTCCTATTTCTCCACATCCTCTCCAGCACCGGTTGTTTCCTGACTTTTTAATGATTGCCATTCTAACTGGTGTAAGATGGTATTTCATTGTGGTTTTGATCTGCATTTCTCTGATGGCCAGTGATGATGAGCATTTTCTCATGTGTCTTTTGGCTGCATAAATGTCTTCTTTTGAGAAGTGTCTGTTCATATCCTTCACCCACTTGCTGATGGGGTTGTTTGATTTCTTCTTGTAAATTTATTTGAGTTCATTGTAGATTCTGGATATTAGCACTTTGTCAGATTAGTAGATTGCAAAAATTTTCTCCCATTCTGTAGGTTGACTGTTCATTCTGATGGTAGTTTCTTTTGCTGTGTAGAAGCTCTTTAGTTTAATTAGATTCCATTTGTCAATTTTGGCTTTTGTTGCCATTGCTTTTGGTGTTTTAGACATGAAGTCCTTGTCCATGCCCATGTCCTGAATGGTATTGCCTGGATTAAGAATATGTGGCACATATACACCATGGAATACTATGCAGCCATAAAAAAGGATGAGTTCATGTCCTTTGTAGGGACATGGATGAAGCTGGAAACCATCATTCTCAGCAAACTATCGCAAGGACAAAAAACCAAACACCGCATGTTCTCACTCATAGGTGGGAATTGAACAATGAGAACACATGGACACAGGAAGGGGGAAGTCACACACTGGGGCCTGTTGTGGGGTTGGGGGAGGGGGGAGGGATAGCATTAGGAGATATACCTAATGTTAAATGATGAGTTAATGGGTGCAGCACACTAACATGGCACATGTATGCATATGTAACAAACCTGCACGTTGTGCACATGTACCCTAAAACTTAAAGTATAATAATAATAATAATAGAAAAAGCATGGTAGAGAAATTGGTCTCAGATTTCATTGCCAAGGAAAAGTGAACAACTGGTATCCATAGTCATTTGGAGTCTTACAGCTATGTGTGTTTATTTTGCCATTGGCCAGTAGAGAGTTTAAAAGCTCACTTTGCAGTATCATGGAAGGCTTACTGTTTCACTTTATTTTGGCTTCAATCTGGTTTTCTCACCTTAAAAACAATTTTTACAATTGATTTTTTAACTACTTTAAGTTCTTAGAGAAAAAAGATGTGATCTAAATTAACTAATACATAATTTTCCCTTAAAATGTTTTTGTCAAAAAGATATTGTCACTTTGAGTTGTATTTTACTGAGTATTAGTAAAATTGAGTGTTTTTTCATTACTGGCTTATAGTTCCTCATTGGTGGTTTGCAATTTATTTTCTTTGTCCATTTACTTACTGAGGTCTTTTTTTTTTTCCTTTATAATTTGTGTTTTGTGTGGTAAGAATATCAAGTCTATCAAACTTTTTCATATTTATCACGAATATTTTCCAGTTTTTTTTCTGACTGTGATTTTTTGACTTAAAAAAGTTTCTTTGTTATTTAGTATAATTTTCCACAGTATCTTTGGAAGTATTCAGTCAATGAATTATTATTATTGTTATTTGTTATTTCTTCCATTGCTTTTAAGCTTAGAAATTCTCCACTGATTGAGAGGTTTTACAAATATAAACTTCGATTTTATCTAGTATTTAACTGCCTTGATAATTTTATAATAACTCTATATTGGAAATTAATTTTGGTAAAGTTCATGTGGTTAGGATCTAGACTGATTTTTTTCTCAATCCCCTAAAATTTCTTTAAGATGTTGTATGTTGTTAAATCTATATATTGACTTTGGAAGAATAGATATCTTCAAAATATTCAGATTTTCCATTCAAGGGTATTATGTGTTTCTATATATTCATTTCTTATAAATCAGTTCATTTAAAAAAAAAAGAAGCAAGTAAAGTTGACATTGACATTTACAGGCAATGTAGCCATATATGTGCAAAATATAAACAAATAAAGTAATCTGTGCATATATGTACAAAATATGAAGAATAAATTAGTGAAAGTAGGCAGCTTGCAGGCTAGAAAATCAATATGTGTAAACCAATTGTATTTATACTTGTAGCAACAAAAATCAAATTTTAAAATGTCATTTATAATAGCCTTAAATAATATAAATTGCTTGAAAAAAGATGTGGAAAAACTAGTAAAATTTACAAATCATTGCTGAGAAGAACTAAAAAATAGGTTAAATAAATGTAGCTATATACCATATTAATGGATTGGAATGCAAAATATTATTTTTAAAAACCTTATTCTACACAAATTATAGATTCAAATCAATTAAATCAAAATGCAAACAATGTTATGTAGAAATTGTCAAAATGATTCTAAATATATATGGAAAAGTAAAAGTCGTAAAATTGTCAAAAAGAAGAAATTTGAAGGATTTATAATACCTGATTTTAAGATTTATTACACAGCTACAGCAATAAAGATAGTTTAATATTGACATGAAGGTAGCTATATATTGATGGAACATAATAGAAAATCTAGAAATAAACTTATACATACAAGGTCAATATATGTACAACAAAGAAAGTAAGGCAATTTAACAGATAAATAATTATTTTCTTATTAAAGGATTCTGATAAACAATTTTACAGCCATATATTTAAAAAATTGTACCTCCACTTTTATTTTATCATATGCAAAAGAGTAACTCAAAATAAATATCAGATCTAAATGTGAAAGTTAAAACCATAAAACTGTAAGACGAAAACTTCCTAGAAATTCTGTGGTTTAGGGCTTAAAATGGACAAAAATAGGCATTAATTAAACAAAAAATAAATAATTTTATATTATTAAAGTTAATATTATTGCTCTTCAAAGGTATTGTAATTTTTTTTAAATAAAAGCATCACCTGAAAGAAAATATTTAGAAAGTATATATTTGAACCTAATATAATGAGTTGGTCTAATAGAAATAATGAACTCTTCCAAGCCAATATTGAGAAGACTAATGTATTTGACTATTTGGGATGTGATAACAAAATACCACAATGAGGTGGTTTAAACAATAAATTGTTTCTGATACCAGAACACTATATTATCATATTTGTCATAATTTTCATAATTTCCATAATTTTTTCATAATTTTCATAATTTCATATTTTTCATATTTTGTATAATTATGTTCTCATAGTTCTGAAGGCTAAAGTTCAATATTAAGTTGTCAGTATGGTTAGTTACTGGTGAGGCCTCTCTTTCTGTCTTGCAGACAGCCACATACTCATTGTGTCTTCACATGGTCTTTTCTCTGTGTGTGCACACTCCTGATGTCTCTTCCTCTTCTCGTATGAACACAAATTATATTGGATTAGGGCCCACCATTATAGCCTCATTTAACTTTAATTACCTCCTTAAAAGCCTTATCTCCACAGATAGTCTCATTGGGGTTTAGGGCTTCAACATATTAATTTGGGATGGGGCCACAATTTAGGCCATAACAACAAACAATCCAATTAAAAATTGGGATAAAGAAATTCTACTTCTAGGAACAAGGAGTAGACATAGTTTTCCCTATTACTTCTGCTAAATACAACCAAGAATACAAGACCACACACACACACACACACACACACACACACACACACATGCCATTAGAAAATCTTGAAAGGTGGAGAGAAGACAACTTATTGGAAGGAGATGTCAGGACCAGAGGGATGAGATAAGGTAAACCCCTTGGATTTTATTCTTCCTTCACGTGTCCCAAATATGAAAATGATGAAGCCCACACACTGGAAGCATCATCAATAAAGGTGACACACAAACCCTCAAGAAAATCCCTGCTCTCTTTACTGCAGGACCAGAAATAGACAGCAGGCAGAACATGAAGCTTTTAAAGAATAATCTCTCTTTTCAGCCAAACACTACAGAAAGAAATTTTGTGGCTCCAACATACACACACCTGAATAGTGTCAGTGAGAACCATGTATGGAGTTATAATTTCATTGCTGCAATCCATTGACACCTTATAGCGTCAGCTGAGATCACATGTGAAGCGGGAAATCCTACTCTCACTCAATAGTAATGAGGAGCACCCCCATACTGCTTGTCAGTGGATGCTAAATGAAAAACTTGGATGTATACCTTTACCTGGCAGTAATACTTGGCAGTAATGAGGCACTTAAATAGATTTAAATACAGAGTCTTATGGCATAAAGTGAAAAATATCCAGGATTCAATCAAAACTCACTTCTCATACAAAGAACAAGGAAGAGGAGAAAATATTTTCCTCAAACCAAACTTAATGTTGGCATTTACTTAAAAGGTAATAAGTAAATGCCAACATTAATATGTCAGAGGTATTAAAAATTTCTGACAAAAACTTTAAAAAGCCATGATAAAAATGCTTCAACGACCAATTAATATATACTGATATGGTTTGGCTGTGTCCCCACCCAAATCTCAACTTGAATTATATCTCCCAGAATCCCCACATGTTATGGGAAGGACCTAGAGGGAGGTAATTGAACCATGGGAGCCAGTCTTTCCCATGCTATTCTCATGATAGTGACTAAGTCTCATGAGATTTCATGGGTTTACCAGGGGTTTCCACTTTTGCTTCCTCCTCATTTTCTCTTGCCACCGCCATATGAGAATTGCCTTTTGCCTCCCACCATAATTCGGAATTTGTTTTCGTCTCCCACCATATTTCTGAGGCCTTCCCAGCCACATGCAACTGTTAAGTCCAATTAAACCTCTTTTGTTTCCAGTCTTGGGCATGTCTTTATCGGCAGTGTGAAAATGAACCAATACACATACTATGAACAAATGAAAAAATAGAAAAATTTAACAAAGAAACAGAAAGTCTCAGCAAAGAAACAGAACCTGTATAGAAGATACAAATTGTTATTTTAGAATTGAAAAACGCAGTTAATTTATATGAAATGCTTAGCAGATGGGCATTTCACATAAATAGCCTAATGCCATAGACAGAGGAAAGAATCAGTGCAACAGAAGATAGCCAATAGAAATTACCCAATATGAACAACAGGAAAAAAAACAGACTAAAAAAAAATTGAACTTTGCTTCAGGAACCCTTAGAATTGTAACAAGATATCTATTATTTTTGTCACCAGAGATCCAGAAAAAGAGGAGAATGGAGATGGGGCTGAAAAAGTACTTAAAGAAATCATGGCTAAAAACCTGCCAAATTAAGCTTCAGTCTTAAAACTACAGATGTAAGAAGTCAGGCAAATTCAAACAGGATAAAACAAAGAAAAATATTCTATAAGAACTGAAGTTTGTAAACTAAAGACAAAGAAAAATCTTGAGAAACATAGTAGTTACCTCTGGGGAAAATAAGATTTTAAGTGGATTTTCCATGAAAATTCAAGAGGCCAAAAGAAAGTGGCATATTTTCAAGTGCTTATAAGGAAGAACTTATCAATTAAAAATCCTATACTCAGAAAATATATACTTCAGGAGTTAAGAAAAAATAAAGTAACTTTCAGAGGAAGGAGAACTAAGAGAACTTTTCAATAGTAGGCTTACCCTAAAAACAGCAAAGGAAGTTCTCTAAACAGAAATAGAATGATGTAAGAAAGAACTGTGTAATAATTATGAAATAAGAAATAACATAGTAAGCAAAACATAGATTAATTCATTAAACATTTTTCTCTTGAATTTTTAAAATTATATTTGTTGAAGTAAAAAGTATAACACTGCCAGATGTGATTCTAAAGATATGAGAATCGTAGAGAGAAAATATTTAAGATAATTATGTTATAGATGAGAGAGAATAAAATTACAAAAAAGACATAAGAGCTTCGCAATTCATTCAACCTGATAAAATAACATCAGTCAACTATAAGTTATGTATGTATAAGTTAAGGCCAAGAGCAACCATTAGGAAATCCATACAAATAAATCAAAATAAACCTTAAGAAATGTTCAGGTAACCCACAGAAAATAAAAAAGAACCAGATAAATGAAAAACAGAGAGAGCAAAAAGAAAACAAAAATAAATAAACAAAATACCCAAATTAAGCCATAGCACATCAATAACTACATTAAATATAAATGGTCTAAATGCATCAACTAAAAGATAGAGATTGGCACAGTGGATTTACAAAAAGCATGACCCCTCTGTATTCCTTGTATAAGAAACTCACTTCAAATATATGAAAATAGTCATATTGAAAGTAAAAGGAGGAAAAAAATATATACCATGCAATAATTAAACAAATAAAAACAAGGGTGGCTATATTAATGTCAGACAAAGTAGATCTAAGAGCAAGGAGTGAGATATTAAATAATAATAAATAATTCAACACATTAAAATGTTATACAAATTCTAACATCTATACATCAAAAAACAGTGGTAAAAAGTGAGGCAAAAGCTGATAAAACTGAAAGGAGAAGAAGACTGACATAAAATTATAATTAGAGACTTCAACAGCCCTCTCTCAACAATTGATAGAACAACTAGATGGAAAATCAGAAAGGATATTGAAGAACTGAAGAGCATATAAACTAAAAGGATTTGTTTAGCCTCTAAAAAGCATTCCAGCCAACAGCAGAATATACATTATTTTCAAGTGCCAGCAGAAAATATATCAAGTTAAATTATATGCTGAGCTATAAAATAACATCAGCAAATTAAAAAGCATTGAAATAATATGGAGTGTCTTCTGACCACAGTAGAATCAAATAAGAAATTATTAACAAAACCTAACAAAAAATCTTCAAACACCTTGAAACTAAGCAATATATTTCTACATTATTCATAAGTCAAAGAGGAAATGTGAAGGAAAATGAAATAATATATAGAATTGAGTGTAAATAAAAATATTAAAATTTTAAAACATTAAAATTTGTGAGGCACAGCTAAAAGAGTATATAAAGTGAAACAAGTGAAATTTATAGCAGTAAATGCAACAAAAAAAATCTCAAATGAATAAACTTCAAACTCCAGAACCTAGGGAAAAAAAGCATAATAAACTCAAAAAATACATGGAATCAAATAATAAGCCAAATGAAGAAAGTAGACAAATTAAAACCATACAAAAAGTCAACAAAACAGTTGGTTATTTTTTTAAAAACTGGCAAACATCTAACAAGACAATGAAAATAAAGAGAAGACAAAAATTACAATTATCAGGCGTGAATGGGGGATGTTACTACAGATACTGAAGATATCAAAAGGATAGTAAAGAAATACTACAAACAATTCTACACCCATACATTTGGCAACCTAGATATAATAGACAGATTCCTTTAAAAACTCAGGCAACTACAGCATGCCCAATATGAAATAGATAATGTAAGTTTACCTATACATAGTGAAGCCATTGAATTCTTAATTTTAAAACTTCCCAAATAGAGATGTTTAGAACTAGCTATTTTCCTTAAGAATTCTACCTAATATTTAATGAAAAATCAGCACCAATTCTACACAATCTCTTCTAGGAAATAAAAGTAGGGACACCTATTTTTATTTGTTATTACCCAGAGGGAAAATTAAACAAAGATATTACAAAAAAGAAAACTGCAGACCAATAGTCATCATAAATATAGATGCAAAAAAGCCTTAACTGATAATATCAATCAGAATTATACAATATATAAAAACAATTATATGCAAAGGCCAAGTGGATGTTCTCCAGGTTGATTTGATATTGCATAATCAGTCAGTGGAATCCATCATATTAATAGTTAAAGAAGAAAGAGCATATGGTCATATCAACTTATTTAGAAAAAGACTTACAAAACATAACATGATTCATGATGAAAACTCTAGAAATACAGAAATAATGGTAACTTCCACAACTTGATCAAGAGCATCTACAAAATAATATTATGACTATTATTGCTAATCAAGATAATATTATATGTATATGTAATGGTGACAGATTGCTTTACCTCTAAGATTAGAAATACGGTAAGGATATCCACTATCTCCATATTTATTTAACAAAACACTAGAAGTTCTACCAGCACAATAAAGCAAGAAACAGAAATAAAGGGCATGCAGATGAAATGATTTCCTGTGAGACAATCCCAAGGAGTCTATAAAAGAACATACTAGAGCTAGTAAATGAGTTCAGTGAATTTAGGATATAAGACAAACATTAAAAAACAAGTTTTTCAAACACTTAGCAAGATCGGTATAGAAGGGACATACCTTAAGGTAATAAATGCTATCTATGGCAAACCCACAGCCAACATTATATTGAATGGAGAAAAGTTGGAAGCATTCCCCCTGAAAACTGGAACAAGACAAGAATGCCCACTTTCATCACTTCTATTCAACACAGCACTGGAAGTCTTAGCCAGAGTAATTAGACAACAGAAAGAAATAAAGGGCATCCAAATCAGTAAAGAGGAAGTCAAACTGTCGCTGTCTGCCAGTGATATGATTGTATACCTAGAAAACCCTAAAGACTCATCCAAAAAGCTCCTAGTTCTGATAAATGAATTCAGTAAAGTTTCAGGATACAAACTCAATGTACACACATCAGTAGCACTGGTATACACCACGAGCAACCAAGCTGAGAATCAAATCAAGAACTCAACCCCTTTTACAATAGCTGCAAAAATAAAAATAAAATAAAATACTCAGAAATATACCTAACCAAGGAGGTGAAAGATTGCTACAAGGAAAACTACAAAACACTGCTGAAAGAAATCATAGACATACAAACAAATAGAGACACATCCCATGCTCATGGATTAGTAGAATCAGTATTGTGAAAATTACCATACTTTCAAAAACAATCTACAAATTCAATGCAATTCCCATAAAAATACCACCATCGTTCTTCACAAAACAAGAAAAAAAAATCCTGAAATTCATATAGAACCAAAAAAGAACCCACATAGCCAAAGCAAGACAAAACAAAAAGAAAAAATCCGGAGGCATCACATTACCCGACTTCAAACTAGACTGCAAGACTAGAGTTACCAAAACAGCATGGCAGTGGTATAGAACAGTCACATAAACCAATGAAACAGAAGAGAACCCAGAAATAAACCCAAATACTTACAGACAACTGATCTTTGACAAAGCAAACAAAACATAAAATGGGGAAAGTACACCCTATTCAACAAATGGTGCTGGGATGGATCAGAGAATTAAATCTAAGACCTGAAACCATAAAAATCCTGTAAGTTAACATCAGAAAAAAACACTTCTAGATATTGGCTTAGGCAAAGACTTCATGACTAAGAACCGAAAAGTAAATACAACAAAAACAAAGATAAATAGATGGGACTTAATTAAACTAAAAAGCTTCTGCACAGCAATGGAAATAATCAGCAGAGTAAACACACAACCCACAGAGTGGGAGAAAATCTTCCCAAACCATGCATCTGACAAAAGACTAATATCCAGAATATACAAGAACTCAAGCAAATCAGCAAGAAAAATAAATAAATAATCCCATCAAAAAGTGGGCTAAGAACATGAATTGACAATTCTCAATAGAAGATACAGAAATGGCCAACAAATACATGCAAAAATGCTCAACATCACTAATTATCAGGGAAATGCAAATCAAAACCACAATGTGATTCCACCTTACTCCTGCCAGAATAGCCATAGTTCAAAAATCAAAAAATAATATGCTCTCAATAGATTGAATGATACACACCCCACATTGGTGAGGGAGATCTTCTTACCCAGACTACTGGTTCAAATGCTAATCTCTTCCAAAAACACCTCACAGACACACCCAGAAACAATGTTTTACCAGCTTTCTGGGCATCCGTTTTCCCAGTGAAGTTAATACATAAAATTAGCCATTGCATTCAGACAAAAGTTTGTAAGCAAATTCTCATAAAAGCTTTATTTGTAATAGCCAATAATGCAAACAACTAAAATGTTTAAAAATGGATAGTTAAACCAATTGTGCTATATCCATAAAATGGAATCCTCCTCAGCAATAAAAATGAATGAAGTATTTTACTCATACATACAGAAAAATGGAGAATCTCAAAATGTATATTGAATGAAAGAAGTTAGACAAAACAGTACATATTACATGATTACATTCATATATACTAAAATATGTAATGCATTAAGAAAGATAGCACACATCAGAGGCTGCCTGGGGACAATGATGGCAGATGGAGAAGTTAAAGGTAAATTACAAAGGACTTAATGAAACTTGCAGAAATTATGGATATATTTATTATCTTAATTTTGGTGATGTTTTCATAGATACATAAATATATATATATATATATATATAAACTCATCAACTTGTACACTTTAAATAGGTGCAGTTAATTGTATGGCAATTATACTTCAATAAAGCTGTTAAAAAAAACTATATATGACTGTATAGAATAGTTTCTGTGCCAAATATCTTAAGCTCCAGAGATAAAAGATTTTCCCTACCTGAAGTCCAGAGGCCTCCTCCCTATGGTCCCATTTTATATCCTAGAATGACTAATGGGGGAAATTTGATTTGCTTCAAGGAAAACCTTGCCCTCACATAGAGAGTTGTGCTCTGTTCTTTAGTCCCTCAAAAGAAAATCCAACAATAATTTAACATCAGAATATTTTCTAATATCTTGGTTATTCATTCTTAAGACCCCATGTGAGGCATCAAAAAGACCAGAATAGTCCAGACTCAGTAGAATACTTTTCTATCTCTCTTCTTCCATCCAGAATTTTCAAAAAGTTTAGGTTATTATCTTAACTACAGTGACCTACTTACAAATATAACGTAAATCCACAAATACAAGGTCAAGTCATCTAAATTTTGACTCTCTGCTTCAACAATTCAATTTAATTTATCTTTTTATGACATAATTGCCTCAAATTTTAAAATTTTATAAACATAAAAGATAATGTTGCTACTACATTTCATTTATATTTCACTCAAAATATTTCAATGCTTTTTGCTAAACTACAAGAAATTTCCTTAAAGTATCGGCTTATGTCAGAAATCACCTTGTTGAGTGTTCCTAATTGAGACATTTGTTTATGGATAATTGCTGCAGGACATTTGTTTTCCTCAGCCACCAAGACCCAACCATGTTCTGATTAGAAGAATACTCCATCGAAAGAGGCAGGGGCAGGTACATTCTCTCCCACACCTTGCAGGGTAAAATGCAGTCAATTGACACATCCTTGGCTACTGACATCTTCCTGCTTAGCACTTTTAATCTTTGGTTTAACATTCATTCATGGCAGATGTACCAGTGGCTTAAATATTCTGCCATGACAAAGGAGTTCATCTATTATGTATTAATAATTATGTGTTTTATATCTTCTTCCTCTAGATCCTTCATGTAAACTGTCACTCAGCTTCAGTTAGTTCCAATCAATTTCTGTTACATGCAATTAAGAATCCTAAATGTCCTGCAATTGCTAAAAAGGAAAAAGAAAAAAAGAATCCTAAATGATACATAAATGTACATGTTCGTAGTATTAGTTTGCTTTCACACTGCTATAAAGGCATACCCAAGACTGGGTAATGTATAAAGAAAAGAAGTTTAATTGACTCACAGTTCCACAGGGCTGGGGAGGCATCAGGAAACTTACAATCATGGCAAAAGGGGAAGAGGCACATCTTACATGGCAGCGGGAGAGAGAGAGTGGTGAGCAAACCATCAGATCTCATGAAAACTCACTCACTATCAAGAGAACAGCATGGGGGAAACCGACCTCATGATCCAACCACCTCCCACACGGTCTCTCCCTTGACATGTGGAGATTACAATTCAAGATGACCTTTGAGTGAGGAAACAAAGCCAAACCATATCATTCATACACATGTTTATACATCGATGCCAATAATGCATTTCCTGTTGGGTCCTGGTAAGACACTACTCTATATTTTCAGTTATCTGTGGTACTGGAAAGAGGACTCAACTGGAAGTCAAGCAATTTCAAACTCTTGTCTTAGGGGCTAAGAGAATGAGCTTTACAGCTAAACCCTGGAGTTCATAACCAAGCTCCTTCATTCTGTACGATGTAGAGCAAGTTACTTATTCTCTCTTAGTTTCAGTTTCTGCATCCATAAAGAGGGAATAATTATAATTCCACCCTTGTAGAGTTAAGTGAGGAAAACAAAATTAATCCACATAGAAAACTTAGCAGGGAGTCTGGTACATAATGGGCACTTGGCAAATGTTGGTTTATTTCTATTGTTATTATTACTTTTGTTGTTGCTCTTCTACTGTGTACTCTGATGGCCCATGTTTCAATGCCAACTCCAAATGTATTAGTCTTGCGACTTGAAGAAAGCGATGTATGCTCTTTAATTTTTGGTTCTGTCATCTACACAATAGGGATAATAATATGATTATTAAAGAATAATAAGATAATAAAGGCAAAGTACTTACACAGTGTCTGGTAACATACTGCAAATATTAGCTATTATTTTAACTAATATTGCATCATTGCATGTTTCTGGGCTTTGCATTCCTCCTTTACATAATGAGGGTGGTGAAACTAAATCAAGTTGTCTGCTATTGCAGGTTTAAAGTAATTCTATGTGTTCTCCTAACTAATCATTGAGACAAATTCAAACAAAAATCCTAGACCCTCTAGACCCTTGTTTCTTATAGTGAAGTCAAAGACCTCTTGAATCAGAAACGCCAAAGATGCTTATTAAAATGCAGATCTCTGGGCCTTACTCTAGATTAATAAAATTGGGATTTTCATGGTGTAGTTCAGGAATCTACATTTTAAAATAAACTCCCTAGGTAACATTTATATTCATTAAAGTTTAAGAACAACTGATCTAGGCTCTATCAATGGAAAAATTTACAAATAAAACATTTCACATCATTAACCAAGAATATGTGAATTTAAGCCTATTTAGAAATACACACACTCAAACACACTAATATAATGTGTCTTGTCTGTGTGTGTGTGTGTGTGTGTACCCCTGCAAAGCTCTAACTCACACTGTAGTCATTATATGAGTAAAGTAAGAGGAGAAGACTTGAATCAAATCTAAGTAATGCTAAGTGATTTTAGATTAACTGCATAGAAATAGCATACATATTTGCTGTCAGGAATAGATGTCAGACAAATCTGAGCTGATTTCTTCTAATAAAATGTATAATTCTTGGAATATCTGGATGCAGCTTGACTTTTGGCTTGCTCAGTCTCACAAATTATGTTTTTACCAAGTACTTGCACCTGTACACAGGCAGGTTTTAAACCAGTTTCCAGAGCAATCAGGAGAGTTTGAGGTATGCTAAAACCCTCTTAGCAAGTGCATTTTATTGTGGTGGTCGGGACTTCATTCTGCTTGGGAGTACCAAATATATCTGTGGAGGGCTACTTTGTGGTCATTTGCCTCAGAATCCATTGACATATATCCTTTTCCTTGGCCTGTTAGTGAATCAACAAGAATAACTGAGAAAACATGAAACTTCTACTTATTAACAAACTGTGTTTTCTTGAGTTGATGGAAGAAATTTTGAAGTTGTATATTCTCCACGAGTTTTTCTTTGTTGCCAATCAGATCACATGTTTGATCAACAGCATGTTAAAATGTCCATTTGACTGAATTTTCCTTGCAGTTATTGGTTGGTTTAATTCAATCGAAATGAGGCCAAGGTTTCTCTTTCTTCCATCAGATCACAATGCAAGGTATCACTCACTGTATCTGTCAGTTTTTGAAAACATATTCAGTGCCAGGAACTTTGTTATGTACTTTATCAATGTAATCTAATTTAATCCTTATAAAAGGTATATTATTCCATGCCTTTTTTATAAGAATAAAAGAGAAAAGATAAGAAAAAAAACAGAGAAAAATAAAAGAAAAATATATCTAGTACAGTGTAACAAGTTGTCCAAAGTTTTGCATATACTATTTGGTATAGCTGGAGATTGAGCCCAAGTCTGACACCAAATGTTTGGGCTAATTTCGCTACTGCATGACACCTTATGGTGCCAGGTTTTAGAGAACTGTCAATACATTACATTACACATTAAAAAATAAAGCCTCTTGTCCTGGTTTCCTTACAGAAATCTTTGCCCATTCCCATGTGCAGAATGGCATTGCTTAGATTGTCTTCCAGGGCTTTTATAGTTTTGGGTTTTGCATTTAAGTCTTTAATCCATCTTGAGTTAATTTTTGTATATGGCCTAACGAAGGAGTCCAGTTTCAATTTTCTGCATATGGCTAATCGGTTATCCCAGCACCATTTATTAAATAGGGAATTCTTTCCCTGGGGCTTGTTTGTGTCAGGTTTGTCACAGATCAGATAGTTGTAGGTGTGCAGTTGTATTTCTGGGTTCTGTATTCAGTTTCATTGGTCTATGTGTTGGTTCTTGTACCAGTATCATGCTGTTTTGGTTACTGTAACCCTGTAGTATAGTTTGAAGTTGGGTACCATTATGCCTTGTTCTTTTTGCTTAGGATTACCTTGGCTATTTGGGCTCTTTTTTGTTCCATATGAATCTTCAGAAAGTTTTTCTTAGTTCTCTAAAGAATGTCAATGGTAGTTTAATGGGAATAGAAATGAATCTATAAATTGCTTTGGGCAGCATGGCCATTTTAATAGTATTTCTTCTTCTTATGCATGGGCATGCAATGTTTCTCCTTTTGTTTCGGTCATCTCTGATTTCTTTGAGCAGTGGTTTTTAGTTCTCATTGTAGATGTCTTTTACCTCCCTAGTCAGCTGTATTCCCAGGTATTTTATTCTTTTTGTTGCAATTGTGAATGGGAGCTTGTTCATGATTTGTCTCTCCGCTTGATTGTATAGGTGTATAGGAATGCTAGCGATTTTTGCAAAATGATTTTGTATCTTGAGACTTTGCTGAAGTTGCTCGACACTTCTTAAAAGAAGACATACATACGGCCAACAATCATATGAAAAAACCTCAGCATCACTGATATTAGAGGAATGCAAATGAAAACCTCAATGAGATGCCATCTCACACCAATCAGAATAGTTATTAAAAAGTCAAAAAACAACAGATGGCGAAGTTGTGGGGAAAAAGAAATGCTTATACGCTGCTGGTGGGAGTGTAAAAGACATTGTGGAAGACAGTATGGCAACTCCTCAAAGACCTAAAAACAAAAATACCATTTGACCCAGCAATCCCATTACTGGGTATACACCCAAAGGCATATAAATTGTTCTCTTATGAAGATACATACACAGATATGTTCATTGCATCACTATTCACAATAGCATAGACATGGAATCAACCTAAATGTCCATTAATGGTAGACTGAATAAAGACAATGTGGTACATATGCACTATGGAATACTATGCAGCCATAGAAAATAATGAGATCATGTCCCTTGCAGGGTCATGGATGAAGTTGGAGGCCATTATACTTAGTAAACTAATGCAGGAACAGAAAAGCAAATACCACATGTTCTCACAAGTGCAAGCTAAGTGATGAGAACTCATGGACACACAGAGGTGAACAACACACACAGGGGCCTATCTACGGGTGTAGGGTAGGCAGAGGGAAAGGATCAGGAAAAATAACTAATGGGTAATAGGTTTAATACCTGGGTGATGCAATCATAGGTACAACAAACCCCCATGACACACATTTGCCTATGTAACAAACCTGTGCATGTACCCCAAACATAAAACAAAAGTATAAAAAAAAGAAACCTACCTTTAATTACATTTGCAGAAAATACTCTTTTTAAACCTAAACAAATACTAGTCCTACACTCTGTATCTCTGTATGTAATTAGATATTGAAGAAAAATGGAGAGGTTAATCTTCAGCAAGGCAATAAATACAACATCAGCAACTGTAATCAAAGTGACCTCACCAGATAGAGAGGGCTCCTAGAAGCCTACCTCCATGACACCTAAGCCTAGGCCGAAAGTCCTTTCCTCATATGTGCTTAGAAAAAGGCTATTGGAAAGATGGGTGTGCCTCAACCTGTCTTTAGACTTCTAATCATGGAAATGCAAAGAAAAAGCTAAAAATAAACTCATCGTTTACTTGTAGAAAAAGTATTACAAGAAGTGTTTACGTGTATTTTCATATTTTGTTTAAAACATATTACCTTAGGTGTTTCTAGTACTGTAATGACTAAACATAGATAGTAACTTTGCAAATGTATTTGCCATCTTCCTTTCTTAAAGTTCCAAAAATTTCTATTTATAACTTCTAAAAGGGTTTATTAAATCTAGGTTTCATCAGTTACTAATTATATATGATGGTCAGGGCAGGTATTAAATGTCTCAATATTTTGATTTTCTTACCTGGAAAATGGAAATAAGAATATTTAATTCAGTAGATAGCTTTATAGAATAAACAAGTCCAAGCATGTAAAATAATTATAAAAATATTTGGTATATAAGAAGACTTGATATATTTGAGACAGAGTCTCTCTCTGTTGCCCAGGCTGGGATGCAGTGGCACTATCTTGGCTCACCACAACCTCCGTCTCCCGGGTTCGAGCAATTTTCCTGCCTCAACCTCCCGAGTAATTGGGATTACAGGTACCCACCATCACTCCTGGCTAATTTTATTTTATTTTACTTATTATTTTTTTTTCAGTAGAGACGGGATTTCACCATGTTGGCCAGGCTGGTCTCGAACTCCTGACCTCAACTGATCCACCTGCTTCAGCCTCCCAAAGTGCTGGGATTACAGGCGTAAGCCACTGTGCCAGGCTGAGAAAACTTGATTTATAATATTGATAATCATAGGACTGATACAGTAACATTGACAATATTATCACTGCTATTAGTACCTCAAATGGGAGATGGCCATGAAGATATTGCCTGTGTACTCCTGAAATAATGTGTGAAGGAATTGAGTGAGAAAATGTCTAAAATTCTAGGATCAATTTCTGAGTTATTGACTGATTCCTGAACATAAAGCAAATGAAGTACCCCTGAGGCATCTGTTTTGGTGACTGTTCGATTCATATTCGAATCAAAACCTGGATAATGAATGATGAGTGATCATACGAGGAGGCATACTACAAAGCTCTACGCAATGATTATTGCTCACAGTATCATCTATTATCAGTTGTCAAATCCTTGCAAACTAATATTCTTGAATATACTAATTATAAAAGTGACTCCCCCAAGTTAAACAATTTGGTGCTTCTCAGAAGTCAAGTATAAATGACAATCCAAGCTGGGCACAGTAGCTCATGCCTGTAATCCCAGCACTTTGAGAGGCTGAGGTGAGCAGATCACCTGAGGTCAGGAGTTTGATACGAGCCTGGCCAACATGATGAAAACCTCTCTCTACTAAAAATACAAAAAAATTAGCCAGGTGTGGTGGTGCACACCTGTAATCCTGGCTACACGGGAGGCTGAGGCAGGAGAATCGCTTGAATCTGGGAGACGGAGGTTGCAGTGAGTTGAGATCATGACACTGCACTCTAGCCTGGGCAGCAGAGCAAGACTCCATCTCAAAAAAAAAAAAAAATACACCCAAAATAAATGACAATCCATGAAAAATATATTAGGAAAAGACTTACTTGGAAAAACAATTATCATCCTCCACCATCCAGTGCAGGCCGGGAGTTGAGTGTTTCTGAAAGTAAAATATATCTCATTTTTTTGTCATGTAATGAATAACCAGTAGGAGGAAAAATAGAAATCATCGGTTATGTCAGAAATTAGGTCATTTTCAAAATCTTTAAGAGTAAAAATGTCTAAATAATCTCAATGGCTTAGATGAATGTGAGATTCTTTTACCTATGTCATTAAGGGACAAATTACTGTGAGCTTCTTCATGTATCTATTCCTCTTTTACTGTTTTATGAATATGATATTAGTATTTAAGTGTAATAACTACTTTATTGGACTGCTGACTTTTTTTTAAGTAACCTACTTTTTAAAATATTTTGCAGGCTCCTTTAAAAATCTAACTATGCTCTATTAAACAGCTTTAAGAACTAAACGCTATTCTCTAGCCTGCTGAGTAAATATGAATTTCACAGTTAAATACATAAAATAATGATTACATCAAATGGTCATGAGGGACATGTTTTTAGAAGTATACTAATTAAACTACATCCTTCAGACAACATGTTTCTACACTTACTAGCAATGAACCATATCTGATTGGTCATTAAGTAATTAGGAATGCTAATGTAAATAAAGTGCCATTCAAACAGCGGCTTTGAGACTTGAGAGGAATCATATATTCTGTCTTCAGGTCTGAACTATATACAGATCAATCATATAAAACAACCAAGAAAAAAAAGTACTGAATACAAAAGAAAAAGACGGTTTTGTCACTCACTACTAACTAGAACCTATATTTTTAAGTGTTTTTTTTTAAATTTTACTAACAATATAAAAGTGTTGTAAGCAATAAGAGAAAAAATGGTTTAGATTGTGATCCTGCATTTTTCCATGGCTGTTATAATTTATGTTTGTGTGTGTGTGTGTGTGTGTGTGTGTATCTAGCTCCTTTCAGCAAAGATAAGAGGTTCAAGAAGATACAAAGTCGTGAAGATAGTGAGATGGAAATGGGAATATAAGTGGCACTGGACCAGAAAGAGAGAGAAATACTGTATACAGGCTAAAAGTGGGAATTGAAGCTATTGGAGGGAAAGGGAAATGAGGAAAAATTAGAGTGTTTGAAGTTAATATAAACCTCATAATAACAGATTAGAACTAGAAATCTTCAGGATTCCTTAAATCTGGAGTATAAATCAAAGAAATTTAATAAAAGTATTTACTTTAGTATTAAAATATAGTAAAAGTGATAAATTGTACAAAAAAAAAATAGAGTGATAAAATGTCTTTCAATACTGGAAATTTTTCAAAAGGATAATTTGTCTTATGTGCTAAAAACTTACCCAGCATCTGGCAGGTGCAAAATAAATATCTGTTAAATTAATTAATGAATGAATGACCTAATTACTTAAATTTAAATAAATAATAAATTACTTTTTCTAGAAAGTAAACAGTCTCGGCCGGGCGCGGGGGCTCACACCTGTAATCCCAGCACTTTGGGAGGCTGAGACGGGCGGATCACGAGCTCAGGAGCTTGAGACCATCCTGGCTAACACGGTGAAACCCCTTCTTTACTAAAAAACACACAAAAAATTAGCTGGGCCTGGTGGCAGGCGCCTGTAGTCCCAGCTACTCAGGAGGCTGAGGTGGAAGAATGGCGTGAACCCGGGAGGCGGAGCTTGCAGTGAGCCGAGTTCGCGCCACTGCACTCCAGCCTGAGCGACAGAGCGAGACTCCGTCTCAAAAAAATAAAAGAAATAAATAAAAGAGTAAACAAAGTCTCAGATATTTTCTATTGGTTAGTTTGTCAGAGTAAAAACCTTTCTGGCCAGGAGTGGTGGCTCATGTCTATAATCCCAGAACTTTGGGAGGCCAAGGCGGGTGGATCACCTGAGGTTAAGAGTTCGAGAGGAGCCTGGCCAACATGATGAAACCCCATCTCCACCAAAAATACAAAATTAGCCATGTGTGGTGGTGCACACCTGTAATCCTAGCAATTTGGGAGGCTGAGGCAGGAGAATCACTTGAACCTGGACTGGGCAACAGAGTGAGACTCTGTCTCAAAAAAAAAAAACCCTTTCAATAATGTCCCCACACTCTTGCCCCATTGATGCCATCTTTTGTAATTAAGAGACAATTTACATTCAGTAAAGTGCACAGTTATTAAGTGGAAAGCTTGATAATGCCATACATAAGTACATACCCAGTAAATCACCCTCTAGATAAACATATAGCACATTTCCATAACACCAGGAGATTTTTCTATAGGATTTTTGTGTCAATACCAAATTCTTCAAAAATAATCAGCATAGTTTTACCTGCTCTTGAATTTCTTATAAATGGAGGCGCATACTGTGCACTGTTTTACATCTGCTTTCCTTCAGTCAACATAATGTTCTTACCATTCAACCATGTTTTATATGTGTCATACATATACATATATACAAATGTTGTCATATAACTACATAAAATGTTTGTCATACATATTATATGTATTGGTCATACATATACATTAAAACTTGTGTTATTCTTTGTTATTGCTGCATAGGACCCCATTATATGAACACACTGGAATTTGCTTATCCATTCTCTTATTGAAGGGCATTTAGGTCAAGTTCAGTTTGAAACTCATGCGCATGTCTAGTGCACATGTTTACTCATGTCTCTTGCCTGTGTATCATGAGTAGAATTGCTAGGACACAGGAAAGGGTGCGTTTAATCTTGTCTGAAGCTGACAGACTGTTTTTCCCAATGTCATTGTACCATTATACATTCATGCAAAGTATGTAGCCACCCCATATC
Source organism: Homo sapiens (assembly GCF_000001405.40). NCBI lineage: Eukaryota > Metazoa > Chordata > Mammalia > Primates > Hominidae > Homo > Homo sapiens. The sequence goes on along the minus strand of NC_000002.12, from coordinate 103,498,519 downwards.
CGCAGTTTACATTTTATCTGTTCTGAGTAGTATGCAGTGATGGTTTAGGGTGGTGGTTTTAATTTGCATTATTCTCATTTCTCATAATGTGGAGCAAATTTCCATATGATATATTCGTATGGTCATTTGAATATCTTCTTTTTGAGAGAAAGTTTTTTCATATATTGTGCAAAGAAGTGAGGCCATGTTATAAAAATATTTGAACCTCTTTACCTTGGGCAAGACATAAAAATTTATTTGAGATCGTTTATAGATGTAAAAGTAGAAGCTTAAATAATAGACTTCTAGAACAGGGGTCACAAATTACAGCTCAAAGGCCAGTCTAGACCTCACCAGTCTTACTTTTTCTTATTTTAAGATATTGTTTATCTGAAGTAGTTGTAGATTCACATTCAATAGTAAGAAAGAATACAAATCCTTTCTTGGAAAAAAACAAACAAGCAAAGAATAGAGCATAGTTATGATTTTAAAACAAGTATTTCACAATTTCATATTTTTACATGCTTTAAATCATTTGCTTAATAACGATATTGATGTTATTGGAATCCTAAGTGGGTATTAATAAAAGGGGTACTCATTAAAACAAAGAAAAGAGAAGCAAGAATGAAAAAGAGTAAGAAAAGGATCCTAAAAGTAAAAATTGAAGACAAAATAGGACTTTTAGGGAGCATTTTTATATCCTCAATTTTCCAAATTTCAACATGTTTTTTTCCACTCATGATGGGTCATGGGGAAAAAGGAGAAAGAGAAAATACTCTTCATTTTATAATTTAAAAGTCAAAAGAAGAATATTAATTTTTTTTGAAGGGAAGGCCATAACCAATTTCATTTTTCAGACCTACATGACAATCATACTATTGGGAGATCCAAGTTATAAACCAACTATTCATTTCATAATTTTTGTTGTGAAATACATCATGTGTGTATTTGTAGGAGGATGTTTCACAGTTTGTTTCATCTTTTAAATTTCCCCTAAGCCCTTTTGTCTCATTAGGTTTTACTTTCACTAAACACTTTAGCCACATTTTTATGCATGTTTTCTCAGGTTACCTTTATTCTTTTTTAAAAATTATATATTTGTAATTTTTCAAACTCAAATTTTTAATTTATCCTCATATTTAAATGAAATTAGTTTTCCTATAGTTTTAGGAATGTAGGTGTGGCTCAAGATACTTCTCTAGCTTCTGGGTTATAGGACTTCTATGATGCGCTATGATTAAGTATTAAAAATATAATCTTTCTTCTAGCCACTTCTTCAGTACTTTCTGTTTTGTCACCCTGTAGTATCTGGACCAGTTCTGTCCTTTACTTCAAGAACACCTGTCCAGAATAATTCATATTCTATTCCTGTCGGTTTCTCATCAGTGTGGGGCATGGTCTTCTCACTGAAAAGTTTGGAAATCTCTGAGTGTCTTGGTTTTCCCAGCTACCTTAGGATTTGCCTCAGTCACTTGCACTCATTGGCAAATTGCCAACAGCAATGTCCCATCCTAGTTATGACTGTGATTCTCAGATGAGCCTCCTGAGTCCTCCTGTTTCAGTGGGGACATCTACCTTGGGATGAGAACTTCTTGGAGGATTCTGTGAGCAAGTACTTACATGTCAAAAGATAAGGAAAAAAGGTCATGATTGTCTAACAGGGTTCATGAATCCCCAAATAAATTATCTTACAAAAATATCATACTTGCTTTTCTATGTTTTAACTACTGGTAAAAATGAAACAAATAATTCACACTAGAATAAAATCTGTAAGCTGGTATAGCAAGCTAAGACAATTACTTTTACATATAAAGCAAGTCCTTCAAATAAATATTTTACACACAAATTTAGGTTTTCAAAAAAATAGGTTAAGTATTTACCTTATTTTTGTTTGTCCACTAAGAGACCTCATTTCTCAAACTGACATTAAAATGGACTGCAGCTCACACCCTACAAAGAGTAAAATGCATGTCACAAGCTGGATACACACATGTGCATATTACATACATGATAAATGGCTAACAGTGCTGTGCATACAACTTCCACGAGTAGTTTTACCCTGTAAAAATACTGTAGCCTATCTTGAATCAAATTGCAATGAAATAAACAAAAGATAATACTTGCCTACTACAGACATTTGCTCACGCATTTTAAAAAATGCAAAAATTATAATGGGATAAAAGTCAACACTGCTTGCAAATACCTGAACATGGAGAGCACAGCCAACACATTCATGTGGACAGCAAATGAGTGGTTGCATATTACACATCTTCTATCTGGGTTGTTCCTCTTGTTTAATTCTAAAGATTTACATGGGCTTGGATCCTTTATGATGATTATTTAAATAATATTACATTAAGTTTTCCTGGTCTAATAACCAACTTTAAGAAGTACAGTGGAAGGGTATAGGAATTTCTATGTCTTCTCATACTTTTGAAGCCAATTTTATTTTTATTATGATGTGAAACTTTAGTTACCAGCATGCTAAAAATAAAATTGACTGAATTACACGATTTTGTCCACAACATTGAAGTCTCTTTTTGCTAAAATATTACAAAATGAATCCAGTAAACACTTTCCATTTCCAATGGCCCAAGTGAGAGATTAATTCAACTTTTTTAAAAAAATGAATTACAACTAAATTGGGCTGAGGACAGCTAGGTTAAATCCTGCAATCCAAACCCAAGCACCCGAACATCTAAAACTGTAACACTTTCCATCCAGGATAGAAAAATGAGCATCCAAAGTAAAGACAACCACAAGATTGATCAAGTAACCAATCAAAAATCACGTCTCTATTATTTGAACTAAGAGTTACTGTAGCTTTACGTTTCTGCCTTCATTATTATTGGTGGTTCCTAGAGTCACAGCTTCAATGTCAAATGTGACAGTGGACTCAGAAGTAATTGCATGTAACTGATGAGGCATTTCTTTTCCATTTACAAAAATGCACCATTTGTACCAATGCATACAGCTTTATCCCGGCTTTGTTGTTATTGCTGTTGAGATGGAGTCTCGCTCTGTCTCCCAGGCCGGACTGCAGTGGCGCGATCTCCGCTCACTGCAAGCTCCGCCTCCCGGGTTCGCGCCATTCTCCTGCCTCAGCCTCCCGAGTAGCTGGGACTGCAGGCGCCCGCCACCACGCCTGGCTAATTTTTTGTATTTTTAGTAGAGATGGGGTTTCACCGTCTTTGCGAGGATGGTCTGGATCTCCTGACCTCGTGATCCACCCGCCTCGGCCTCCCAAAGTGCTGAGATTACAGGCGTGAGCCACCGTGCCCGGCCGACATTCCGTTTTTATGGCACACTCCTATACAGTCTCTTCTGTCTGGTAGTTCCACAGTTTCAACTCTAAATATTAATGTCTGCCCAGAAAGATAAGTTGGAGCTCTGGAGTTGAGAACACCTGAAGATTTAGAATCGTTCCGGCATGACGTATTTCTTCCATTGCTCACACTGCTCCTCTCAAAACCAGCTGTCCACTCATGAGGCTCCGATATGGAATGAACTAATTGGGGGACACTCCAAGGACTCTGCTCCTGTCAGCCATCTCTTCGGGTGCAGATTCTGAAATGATCTTCAACGTTGGAGTCTATGTGCAATACTCTGAATTCAGTTTCGGAACCTACATATACATCCTCAAAACGATTTGAAGTACATTTACGAAACTGGAGCCTGTCATCTTGTGCCGTAAAGTCATCATCCACCTTACACCATTGTACTATGATGCCTCCAGGTTTCTCTATCAGTTCTTCTATCTGTACTGGTGGGCGAGATGCTACTGTTCCATGCTTAAGAATGTGGTCTTTCATGATGTTAAGAATACACTCATCCAACTGAGCAGATAAACAAGGCACATCAACCAGTAAAGGTACTTCTGGTATGCTGTCCAACTGAACATGCAAGGCCTTTTTGGTAAAGCTCCACAGTTTCTCATTCTCTTCTACACCACCAAGCATGGCAATCTCATCTTCTTGGACTAAGCCCTCTGGAGTGTTAACTCTGTGTTCTATGAGCTTCTGGCAATCATCTAGTGGTTTAATGGTCTGTTTAATGGTGCCAACCTCTTGCAAAAGGGTCACCAATCGCTCATCCAGGAGCTTCCCATGGGTTCCCTTTAAATCATGAAAATGTTGTTTGAGAACATCGCTTGTCTGTGATGCACTCTCTTTGATCTCTATGCCTCCCACAGCCCCTCAAGCTGGTGACCCAGCTCCCACCAGTAGTTCTGTACCACCTCCACGTTCTCAAGGGCCTCCTACAGCAGCAGCTCAGGCTCCAGCTCCATCGCCTGCCTCATGCAGCTGCTAGAGCAGGTTCCCGACTGTTGAGTCTGGGGTTTTCTGATGGGAAGATATTTATCTTCTGATGTAAGTATACTAATGACTGTAGGATTATGCATATTTCCTGTTTTTTGCTGAACTTGTATTTTTATTTTTTTGTTTGTTTTTACTTTATATTTTTCTAGGAATATTTCCATTTTATCTAATTTTTCAAATTTATTGGCATAAAGTTATTGATAGTATTTATTTAATATCTTCCAAATCTCTAGTTGTTGTTTCTTTTTCACTCCTCATTATATTGATTCTTTGCATACTGGTTTCTACATATGTGCCTCATGTATAGATTTCCTCTATTCCACAGTCACCTCATAAGCAAGCCATACACAGTTTTCATTTTTGCAGTTTGCCAAATGTTCAAAATCATAGTGCCAAGTAGGAAATGCTCTATTCCTACATTATTGACTCAAGTAAGGATTAAGAAGAAAAAATTATGTTTAGGCCTTTGACATCCTGCAGATTCTTGACCTTCAACATCCCAAATACTAAGAGGGCAATGAATGCCAATGTGAATGATCTTCACTCACCCTGACTAACTTACCTTGCTTGGGAGCATTTTTGAATGGCTATGGCTTTGTTCAACAAGTTATTCTGTCTCAGTTGTTTTAATCAAAGCCAAGATGGACATTTGTAAGGGAAGAATGATTCATTTGTTTTTAAATGAATCTACCCGCTCCGTTCCAAATACAATTTAATGAGTCTGTTGAAAGTGTTAGTGGATTTGAAATTATTGAGATGTGGCAATTTGAGAGCATATCTAGATATTTTGCTTTAATTCTTATGGAAGTAATTCACTATGGGTTTTGCTTACCTGGAACCTAATCTCAGTGTATAATAATTACCTTATACAATCATATTTCTTAGAAGGGAACCCTGAAAATAAACACTGCATTGTGAGAATTATAGGATTCATTAGTAAAAACTTCCTACTTATCAATTTGCAGGAAATGTAAGTTGATTTACTTTTTCATTACCTGTGAGATGTTTTTTATACTCCTGACTCATCTTTGTTCTTTCCTTTGTACAAGCAATGAAGTTGTAAGTCCTGTGAAGTAATAGCCTGCAAATTATAATGCTTCATTGCATAAGCAAGTAACAGAAAATGAATTATGAAGAACAAAGTCCCTGTTACACAAGCTTCAATAATCCTTAATTCTGAACGGAAAAATAGCCAATCATTTGTATAAGGTCCCATGAACAAAGCAGGATAATATGCATTTGGATTGTCATTGACTACATTTTCATTTTAGTAAAAAAAAAAAAAAAAAAAAAAGAACTATCTCAGAGATTGTATAGAAAGTCAGCTTCTAAATAAATACACAAAGTGCATTCATACTTCTTTTTTAATCTCTAGTAAAAGTTGGTCTTCATACTACAATGAACTGGTGAAAATAAGTAAGGTTTCTGTGTGCATGGGAAGTAATAAAGTTTTCTAAGGGAAAAGTTGAAAAATTATACACAGATCATTTAAATATTTTATATATTTTACTGGCCTTTTAATCAAGAAGATTATAAGTGTTAATTACATACGAGATGTGATATATTTGTAAAAGTTACCTGAAATAACACCATAGGTTCACTGTCAGGTAGTTCTGAGGTCAAAAACAAAAAGGTAAGAGACAGATGGTTTATACTTCTGTTGCCTATATGAATTTGCTCATTTTAATATCTATATGTTAAAAATTGAGCTGATATACATTCTTCCAGGTACAGAGAATTAAATATACTAAAAATCCCTAGTGTCCATAACTTCTTAGAGAAATGGTGATTCTAGGTCTGGGGCAGGACAGATATAAATGAGATAGGGTGTCTAGTTGCGCCCTCAAACAGAGAAAGTAATGAATATTGAGATCATGTAAACAAAAAAATACATCAACCTACTTGAAAGGGCTTCTAATGGCCAAAGATAGAAGACACTCATTGGTCACCTATCATTTTTTTTTAAATAGTAAGTAATTTCAATGCTTAATTAAGTATTTATTATGCCTTTTCTGTAGAATATTTGCTGCAAGGTAAACAAATAGTTGGTAGGGGAAATTTTTAAATTTAAGTGTGAGCCAATAAATGCAAAAGGAATGATAGAATTAGAAATTCACCATTTTGCTATTCTTAATGCATAAGTCTAGGTAGTGATAATCCACATATCCTAAAACCATTAGAGAAATTCTTGTTTGAAAATTTGTAAGGGATGGATCTGCTAGGTGGATACTTGATGGATCCTGAATCAATGAACTAATCTTATCACTAAGCACGGGCCATTCATTTTTACATTCCCTCTTGCATAATGCCATAGACAGTGTATAGCACCACCAATGGTCATACACAAACACACACACACATACTGTAAATGAACAGGAATCTAACTAAGTCCCAAGACACAAATAATAGCTGACAGGCAATATAAGGTACATAGAAATAAGAGGAATGACATCACAAGAAAGTAATCAGCCAAATAGATATTTGAAATTCTGACTGAAAACAAGTACATTTTCTTCAACAAGTAAACAGAAAATGGTCAGGGATGGAGGAAAACTACCATCAGTTAAAGGACACTTAAGAGTCTGTGAATGCTGGGCATGGTAGTGGCGTATGCCTGCAATCCCAGCTATTCAGGTGGCTGAGGATTGCTTGAGCCCAGCAGTTCAAGACCAGCCTGAGTAACATAGCCAGACCCTCTCTCCACAACAACAACAATAACAAAAGAGGTCATGATGTGTAGATTTGCTTCGATCTCATACAAACATGCTGCAGGTATTTTTTGTAGATAATCCAAGAAACTTGAATATCAACTAGATATTATATCAGGGATTATTGATCATTTAGTTATATGTGATAATGATTTTGTGATTGTATTATCTTTAATTCCTTATCTGTAAATAAATACATAAGTATTTGTGGTTAAATAATATGTTTTCTGGGTTATGCCTTATGAAATATTCCAGCAATAATTTTTTAAAGAATGAGACCACAAATATAAACTTATATTGAATAAAATATTTATTATAAAAACACATGGCTAGTTGTTGCATAGATATTCACTATACAATTGACTCTTGAACAACACAAGTGTTAGGGGTGCTGACCTTTCCCACAGTCAAAAATTCCTATATAACATTTGACTTCTAACAACATACCTACAAATAGCTACTATTGACGGGAAACCTTACCAATAATGCAAACATATGATTCACACATATTTTGTATATTATATGTATTATATACTATATTCTATATTCTTGCAATAAAGTAAGCTAGAGAAAAGAAAATGTTATTAAGAAAATACTAAAGAAGAGAAAATATATTTATTATTCATTAAGTAGAAATGGATCATCATAAAAGTCTTCACCCTCTTCATCTTCATGTTGAGTAGGCTGAGGAAGAGGAAGAAGAGGGGGAATTCATCTTCTGTCTCAGGGTGGGAGAGGTGGAAGAGGTGGAGAACGTACAAGGGGAGGCAGGCACACTTGGTGTAATTTTAAGGAAATGCATTGTAATTTCTGTCTTTTTTGCCTTTTCATTTCTCTAAAAGTGTTTCTATGTGGTGCTCATCCTTCCACCATTTGTTTTAGGTTCAGTACCCATATCATAGAAGACTTCATGTCATGAAACAAGTCAAAAGCCATCTTGAATAATCAGAACTTTCCTGCCAGATTGGCTGATATCAATTTGTTTCCTGGCACTGCTTCTTCTTGTCATCTTCTTCCTCATCATCTGGCACTGGTTCCAGAGCACTCACCTTCATCAAGTCATCTTCTGTTAATTCCTCTGGTTTGGTGTCCATTAACTTTTCAATCTCTCCAAGATCCATACCTTGAAACCCTTTATCCCCCACCATATCCATAATCTCCTTCATGATTTCCTCAACTGGCTCTGTCGTAAATGCTGTGAAGTCATGTACAACATCTGGACACAGTTTTCTCTAGCAGAAATTTACTGTTTTGAGTTTGATGGCTTTTACAGCATTTTCTATAACAATGATGATATCTTCAATGGTGTAATCCTTCCAGACTTTCATGATGTTCTATCGAGGTTCTCTTTATAGTGTTGATAATATTTTCCATAGAGTACAGTGTGTAATGAGTCTTAAAGATACTGTGGCCCTGTGATCTATAAGATAAATTAGAGACATTGCATTTGGGGACACAGAAACCACTTCAGTGCCTTCAGTGTTGAACTCATGGGGATCTGGTGGCTATGGGCATTATTCTATACGAAGAGAAATTTAAAGGCAGTCTTTTACTGGCAAACTACTTCTTGACCTTAGGGATAAATATCCATGAAACCAGTCCAGAAAAAAAGGATTCTCTTGTCCAGGCCTTCTTGCTGTACCACCAAAAGACTGGCAGCTGTTGTTTACCTTTTGTCTTCCAGGCTCAGGTGTTAGCAGCTTTATAGACAAGGGGCAGTCCTGATCATAAACCTGACTGTATTTGTACACAGTAGCACAGTTAGTCTGTCTTTCCCTGACTTAAATCCTGGTGCTCACATCTCTTTTTTACTAATAAGTGTTCTTTGTGGCATTTTGTTTTTCCAGAATAGGGCACTGTCTTCTGCATTAGAAACCTGTTCAGGCAGATATCCTTTCATCTCAATGATTTTCTCAACAGCATCTGGGAACTCCTCTGCTGTCTCTTGTTTAGCAGATGCTACTTCTGCTGTTATCTTGACATTTTTAAGCCAAATGTCTTTCTAAAATTATCAAACCATCTTTTGCTGCCATTAGTTTCTCCAGTTTTAGGTCCTTGACCTTTCTTTTGCTTTATGTTGTTATGTAATGACTTCACTTTTTCTTGAATCATACAGGTGTGCCTTTGTTATAGCAATTATGCACCCACATAAAAGTTGCATTTTCTACATGAGATAAAAAGGTATTCCTCAAAAAGTGCAGGGGTTTTGTGCCTGCTGCCGTAGGTACAACAACTGCTTCAACATTTCCTTTTCTAACAATGGTCCTTAGACTGGACTCCTTGATCTTGAAATGGCGGGCAACCACAGTTGCAGACCTCAATCTATGGTACATATAAAGCAATTCAACCTTTTTGTGTAGTGACATGACATCTCCGTTTCTTAGGAGCACTTCCAGCATCACTAGCAGTGCTTTGTATGGGTCCCATGATTTTATTTAAGGTTTACAGTATTGCATTAAATATGATGAAATATATGTGAGAACAACAATATCACTTTTTTACTGTGACACACAATTTACTGGAGAGCTGAACTGCTCACACGGAGATAATTAGCATTGCATGTTACTTGCAGCACTTGAGCTCACTGTAATAGCAACAGGAGGTGGCTATGAAATTATTACAGTAGTACAGCATGCACTACATTTAATTTTAAGCAGTTATGATTTAATATTGCATTTTTACCCTTATTTACATTTATCTAGACAGCAAATGGCACTATGTAGGGTCTATAAGTGTGTAAGTGTGATAAATTTTAACTTTTATGAGAGATTTGTGCATATTTATGGTAGTAAATGATAAAACAGATTAGTATCTCCATATATTTTATGCATTCATAATATACTGAAGGCTTTCTTAATTTTTAAAATATTTATAGGCCACTTGTTTCATCTGCAAATTTTTTTCAAATTCTTGTAAATCTTCAATTTTTTTTCTAATATATTTGTTGGAAAAAATCTGCATAAGTGGACCTGAGCAGTTCACACTCATGTTGTTCAAGGGTCAACTGTATTTTTATCACTACTTTCATGTAATTTTTGAAATATCTACTGTATGAGTTTCTTCTCACATTGCTATAACAAACTATCTGAAACTGGGTAATTTAAAAACAAAAGAGGTTTAATTGACTTACAGTTCCACAGGCTGTACAGGAAGCATGGCTGGGGAGAGCTCAGGAAACTTACAATCATGATGGAAGGTGAAGAAGAATGAGGCATGTCTTACATGGCCTGAGAAAGAGGAAGAGAGGAAAGTGGGAAGTGCTACACTCTTAAACAACCAGATCTCGTGAGAATTCACTCACTATCACAAGAACAGCAAGGGGTAAATCCACCACCATGATCCTATCACCTCCCAACAGTCCCCTCCTCCAACACTGGCGATCACAATTTGACATAAGATTTGGGCAGGGGCACAAATCCACAAAATAAGTCAAAAAACAATCATACTCAGGAATTACTTAGGAATAGAATATCAGTTGTAAAAGTATAGGAATATGTTACTTTCCCATTGCTGTAAAGCAAAATTCCTCCAAAATTTAGTGGCTTAAAACAACACATGTTTATAATCTACAATAGAAATCTATTTCTGAGATCAGGAATATTGGAGTGCCTCAGTTGGGTAGTGCTGGTGCAGGGTCTCATGAGGTTATAGTCAAAATGTTTGTCAGGGCTACAGTTTGCTGAAGACACAACTGAAGTGGCAGGATCCAATCCTGGTTTTCTTACATTACTGCTGCCTGAAGACCACATCCTTCACTTTCCTCAGTTCCTTCCACTGTAGATGTCTTCACAGAGCTGCTTACTGATCTTCCACAGCCAGCAGTCCCAGGGATATCAAGGCAGAGGCTGTGATGCCCTTTATCACCTAGTTTCAGATAGAACACACCATAACTTCTGTCACGTTCTCCTGGTGAGAGAGACCAACTGTGATACAATGTGGGAGAGGACTACACAAAGTCTGAATCACAGAAGTCAAGGATGGTTAGGGCAATTCTAAAACCTGGTTAACACAATGGGTTTAGAGTGATGATTATTGTTGTTGTTAAGTTCTAATTTAATTGAGTTTTGATCAGAAAATCTGGCTTGCATTGCATCAGTGCGCTGAAATTTTTAGACTTTCTTGGTGACTTAGTATGTAAATATTTTCGAAATTTTCTTTAAATGTTTCATGTGACTTGTACGGACTACATACTATTTGTTGATTTCAGATTTATCTCTTTAAAATATCTATAATATCACACTTTTCAGTTTTGCTTTCAAAATTTTGTATGTGATCACAAGTTATTTGCTTGAACTATAAGTTTCTCAATTTGTTTTGTAATGATATTTGCTATTGCTATGCCAATTTTCTTTGGTAAATATCTGAATTTTTTTATCTTTTTCGTCTCTTACAAGCACCTTTTCTTTTCCATAATAAGTATCTCTAATTTTATCCATCTATAATTGACATAGATCTAACCCTTTGAAAGGCATGTGATAGTCTGAAACTTAACTATTAGGTGGTAAGCACTAATGACATGGCTAGTCCATGCTTGATTTAGAACCCAAATCCACAACTTCTAATTTGTCCAGTGGTTTTAACACACCAAGTTACTTTTTATGCCACAATCTCATCGTCAATGTTGTTGTTGCAATTTGATAATTTGTATAGTTAATCTTAATAAATGAAAATCAGAAGACAGATAACTTCAATAAAGCTGAGAAAATCGTCTAGAAATTGAACATAGTAACTTATATTTAGAGTCTTAATTTGACAAAAGTTTTGTGATCCAAATTAAAAAAGTAAAACCACAGAATGCCTTGCCCAGTTTGTCACAAATAGCTAGCAGATACCTGCAAAAGCAAGTTGGAGATGATGACTTTAAATCAGTTTGCAACTTGAGATACAACTTCTGGATTTTAGTTATGAAATAAATGATTTGCATGAGAAAATGTGTCCTGATTATTAACAGAGAAAAATGCATATGACCAGTTTACTAACAAAAAAATCCCTCAGTATCTTATATTTATATTTCAGACTCAGTCCATAATAGATGAAAGCATGCTTTTCATAGAACAAATGACATCACAGCTCCCCTGCTGTAGGGCTTACTCAAGACATTCCAATAGAGACATAATCCCTTTTGTGCCTCTGAAATTAAAATGAATCATATGCAAAAATAGAGCTGGCTGAGAGGGTCTATGTAGCCCATTATGATCATTATGCGTTATAGAACTGTATGCTGTGCTCTGCAATAGGTAAATTGTGCTAAATAAAAAACAGCATCGCTCCTCTGTAATAATTACATTCTACAAAATGCCTACTTGCCTGCAAGTGGATGGAGCGAGAGATTTAGATTCATATAAAAAAAGTTTATTTTTGAATAGAAAGCAAAGTTAAAATCGGTACCATCCATTAAAACTCAATTCACCCTGGCTATTAGAAAAATAAAAAGCCTAAATAAATGAGGCAGATGTTGGCAATCTGAGTAGGCCACAAAGCTGCTCAACCTTAATAACCAAAATTCAAAAGGCAGATGGCAGAAGCCTCAACAAAACGGAGGAAATTCTCCAAGACTTAAAGCATTTCTATGCAGATTGGTAAAATGTCCTTATGACAAAGGAAATGTTCCATCACCACTTGAAATATATTTTTTAAATATTTAGAGTAGATTTTTATTTTCTATCAAGGCTTGTTAACTCAAAAATACACTAAGGTCATGATAAAATCTGTTAGAAACTAGAGAAGATTTCCAAACTAAGAAAAATCCAGATGGAAACTCATTGACTTCTTTATGTTCTTCCTTTAAAATAAATTAATCCTGTTATAGAAACATTACCCACATGCCTCCTGTTTCTCTATGCTCCATCCACCCTCCTCCCTGTCACCAGAAAAATCCTGATTTGATAAAATCACATCCTGCTTAAAAATCTTCTACAAGGGAACTTTTTAAAGTTTGTTGAAAAAATGGAATTAAAAGATAAACATTTCCAAAATATAAACCCTATATTTCAACTTAAGCTGCATCAGGGTCAACACATTTTTGTAAGCAATGATGCCAGCCAATAAGCCCATCCTTAAAGACTCGAAGGTCCTGGGAATTTAAGCATGTCAATATAGTCTTTTTTACATTATTAACTGAAGAAAAATGGGTACCCTTTAAAGATTTTTTTTAAGGTTTGGAAACAAAAAATAGATCAGAAGGAACCAAATCGGGACCACAGGGTGAATGCTTAATGATTTCCCATCAGAACTCCTACAAAATTGCCCTTGCTTGATGAGAGGAATGAGCAGAAGCGTTGTCATGGCAAAGCAGATCTCTCTGGTGAAGCTTTCCTGGGCATTTCTCTGCTAAGGTTTTGGCTAAGTTTCTCAAAACACCCTCATCATAAGCAGATGTTATTGTTCCTTGGCTCTCAAAGGCATTCACAAGCAAAGTAACTTGAGCATCCACACAAACTGTTGCCATGACCTTTGTTCTTGACTGGTCTTCTTTTGCTTTGCCTGGACTGCTTCCACCTCTTGGTAGCCATTGCTTTGTGCTTTTGATTTCAGGATTGTACTGATGAAGCCAGGCTCCATTTTCTGTTTCAGTTCTTTGAAGAAAATGCTTCAGGATCTTGATCCAGCTTGTTTACAGTTTTTGTTGAAAGTTCTGCTCTTGTCTGCAGCTGATCTGGTCACAACGGTTTTGGCAGCCTTCGAGTGGAAAGTTTGATCTACTTTAATTTTTCAGTTAGAATTGTGTAAACTAAACCAAGTGAGAAGTCTATGGTGTTGGCTATTGTTTCTGCTGTTCATTGTGGTCCTCTTCAATGAGGGCATGAACAAGATGAAAAAGATGTGAGGTTTTTTTTCTCACAAATTGATGTGGATGGTTTGCCTTTGAGGGCTTCATCTTCAACATTGTCTTGTCCTTTCTCAAAATGGGTTATTCGTTTGCAGATTGCTGATTTCTTTGGGACACTGTCTCCATAAACTTTTTGTAAAGCATCAATGATTTCACCTTTCTTGAACCTAAGCTTCAACATAAATATGATTTTGTTCTTGCTTCAAATTTAATGGGATTCATGTTCTGATAGGTGCTCTTTTCAAACTGCTGGCTTAGCCTTCTTAGTGCCTCAAACAAGTTCCTGTTCAGCTATGCTATAACAAGTTAGTACGAGTTTATTTTGGTGCAAAAATATGTCAAAACCCATCAAAATCCATGCATAGTTTTCTCATAATATACATTTCATGTGAACTTTTTGTAGATCCCTCATATGGTTGTTCTGTGAGTGTAACATGAAGGACATTTTACTTTCCAAAATATAACTCCAAATTATCTTTTCATACTTAATTCTTCCTACCTCCTACAAGTTTCTCTGAATGAATTTTTCCTTTGTTAGCTCCTCTACTACTGTTGCCTCTAAGCTTCTCCCATATGGGAATTCTGGAGCTGCTCCAGGTTATGACAACCCAGCCCACACCCATTTGCCACAGTGGAACACAGACAAACTGGACATTTGGTAAAGAAGCAACATTAGAAAGTTCAGATGTTGGAAAAACAGATATATGTTATTTTAGAACATTCAGTAACTGATAGTTATTCTAGTCCATGAGTTAATGAGAACTGGGCTATTTAAAATTCATTCATCAATTCAACAGACTTGTTTAGGGAGAACCTCCTATGTGCGAGGCACTTTTATACACTGAGGATACAGAAAAGAAACCCTCATGCAATGTTTATACCAGCTAGTGAGACATAAAATAACGAAGATAATAAGAGAAAGTTAAAGTTTACTAGTCATTATTTTTAAAGATGAAAAATAAGGTATAAAGGAATAGAAAAGGAATGCCCAGGGTAGTGGTGCAATGAAATAGTGTGGCTTGGGCAAGCCTGGCTGAGAAGGTGACTTTTGAGAAAACAGCTGAAAGAAGGACTATGTGTATATATGGGGGCAGAGCATATCACAAACGAATAGCAATGCCCTGAAGCCGCAGTATGCCTGGTGTATTTCAGAAACAGCCAAGATACCAGTGGTACTGTAATAGACAGAACTAGAGGAGAGTAGTTGGAACTAGAAGGATTTGCAATCTGAGAAGCTAGGAACTAGGATTTCTCTGTAGTTCATAATGAGAAGAACACTTGGGCATAGAACAGTGTAGACTAGAACAGCGTTAAGTGTATGCTAGAACAGTAATACATACAAAATGAGGATCAGGAGAACCCAGATGAAGAGAAAAATCTTTAGTCTGTACCAGAACAGAGACATTCCCCTGTTACACACCTAGATTTTTCCCTATTACTTAGACAGTATGAAATTCTGGAAAGTAAGTATCAGAAGAAAACAAATTTCAGTATGGGTAGATGTTCACACACATAGACATTCTTAATTAAAACCTTCACTAGAATAACTGTCCATTCAATCCTAGAAGGCTGCTGTATATTTTGTTGGAATTTCCTGATTAAGTTCTAGAGGATACTCCCCATGTATTTGGTTCCCACTTTGCATCCTACAGTCTTGTTGATCTGAAAATAAACTTCTACCTTTACAACTCCCTTCAAAAGCAACAAGAAGCTGATAAGCTATATAGGAAGGACCCAGCACCCCCTCCCCAAGCTAAGAACTTGCTTCAGAAAAACAAAGGAATGACTTTCTTAGTAAAATGCTTTGCTTCCTTTTTAGAACTTCCCTTAACTGATAAGCTCTTATTGCACTGCCCACTCACTTGCTCCCTTTAAAAAAAAAGTTGCTGGCAGGGCGCGGTGGCTCACGCCTGTAATCCCAGCACTTTGGGAGGCCAAGGCGGGCAGATCACAAGGTCAGGAGATGGAGACCATCCTGGTTAACATGGTGAAACCCTGTCTCTACTAAAAATACAAAAAATTGGCCAGGTGTGGTGGCGGGCACCTGTAGTCCCAGGTACTCGGGAGGCTGAGGCAGGAGAATGGCGTGAACCCGGAAGGTGGAGCTTGCAGTGAGCTGAGATCCTGCCACTGCACTCCAGCCTGGACGACAGAGAGAGACTCCATCTCAAAAAAAAAAAAAAAAAAAAAAATTGCAGCATAAAATACAGGATGTCCACGCCCAGAGAAATACAAACTTAAGACAAACAAGGAACAACTTTTCAAATATTCCTCAAATATTTCATGGGACATACTATATACTAAATAAAAAAAATCACTCAGTATTATTCAAAATTCAAATTGAATTCAGCTCCCTATATTTTTAAAAATAGACTTCTTAGAATAAATTTATATTTATAGAAAAATAGTGAAGATAGTACAGAGTTCCCATATACCCCACAAGCCATCTCCTCTCTTATAAACATCTCACATTACATTTGTTATAATTAATACACCAGTAGTGATGCTATATTATTAAAAGAAGTCTATTCTACATAAAAACACATCACCAATCCCAAGATCTTTCAGATTTTCTTCTATTTTATTGTACAAGTTTTATAGTTTTTCATTTTCATTTAAGTCTGTGATCTACTATGACAATTTTTGTAAAAGGTGTGAGGTCTGTGTCTAGGTTCATCCAAATTTTCTGGAACCCTTTATTGAATTAACTTCACTTCTTTATCAAAAATCAGTGGGCTACATTTGTATGGGCCAATTTTTGGGCTCTCCCTTCTGTTCAACTGATCTGAATGTCTATTATTTCACGAATACCAATTCTTTCTTGACTACTCTAGCTTTATAGTAATTCTCAAAATTGATAGTGTGATTCTTTCAAGTTTATTCTTCTTCAGTATGTCATTGGATTTTTCAGTCTTTGGCCTTTTCATGTAAAGCATTGAGTCATTTTATTGATACCTACAAAATAGCTTGCTGAAATTGTGATTGAGATTGTGTTCAATACATAAAGTTGAGCAGAATTACTCAACAACATCGAGTCTTCTACCACATTAACATGAAATACTTTTCTGTTTATTTAGATCTTCTTCGATTTCTTTCATCAGAGTTTTGTAGTTTTCTGTATCTATTTCCTTGACATATTTTGTTAGATTTAGACCTTTAAGTATTTCATTATTTTGGTACTACTTAGAATGGTACTCTTTTAAAAATTTCAGACTCCAGTTGTTCATTACTTGAATATTAAAAAAAAGAACTGACTTTTTTATATTAACTTAGTATCCTGCCTGTTTGGTATATTCGCTTATCAGTTCCAGGAGTTATTTTGCCCTTTCTTTAGATAGGCTACGTAGAAAATCAGGTCAATAATCTTCAAAGAAATGCTGCTTTAAATCTTTCTTCCCAATCTGTATATGTTTTATATGTTTTTATTGTCTTATTGCAGTAGCTAGGACTTTCAGTGTGATATTATATAGGAGTGGTTCAAAAAGACATCCTTGCTTTGTTCCTGATCTTAGGGGAAAAGCATCCAGATTTTCAACATTAAGAATCATGTCAATTACAGAATATTTTTATATAAACTTTATCAAGTTAAGTAGATTTCCATCTATTTTCTGTTTGCTGAGAGTTTTTATTAGAAATGGGTGGTATATTTTGTCAAATACTTTTTCTACTCAACTTGTCAGAGCCTTTTGAACCAGAGCAACTCCATCTTGAATAAGGGCTAGGTAAAATAAGGCTGAGACCTACTGGGCTGCTTTCCCAGGAAGTTGGGCATTCTAAATCACAGGATGAGATAGGCAATCCGCACAAGATACAGGTTATAAAGACCTTGCTGATAAAACGGGTTGCAATAAAGAAGCCAGCCAAAACCCACCAAAACCAAGATGGCAACAAAAGTAACCTCTGATGGTCCTCACTGCTCATTATATGCTAATTATAATGCATTAGCATGCTAAAAGACACTCTCCCTAGCACCACCACAATCGACAAATGTTGCAACTTTAGGAAGTTACCTTGTAAGGTCTAAAAAGGGGAGGAACTCACAGTTCTGGGAATTGCCCACCCCTTTGCTGGAAAACTCATGAATAATCCACCCCTTGTTTAGCATATAATCAAGAAATACCCATAAAAATGAGCAACCAGCAGCCCTCAGGGCTGCTTTGGCTAGAAGTAGCCATTCTTTATTCCTTTACTTTTCTAGTAAACTTGCTTTCACTTTATTCCATGGACTAGCCTCGAATTCTTTCTTGTGTGAGATCCAAAAACCCTCTCTTGGGGTCTGGATCAGGACCTCTTTCTGGTAATATCTTTCTGGAGACCATGAAGGGACGATACTGAGGAGACCCTCAACTCCAAGGAAATAGACTGCAGCACCAATTGGAAGACTTTGAGTAAGTGGGGTGCATTTACCCAGGTAGTGGATGGGATTGGGTTAGAGGCCCAATTTAGGGGAATTAAAGTCTCTCCTAAGTCAGAGAGGGTTAAAGGCCCCTCTTAATAAAAGGCGAGGACACTTGACCAAACTTGAGTTCGAGTGCCAACTTAGGAAGGTTAGAGTCCTTCCTAAGATTTAGTGGGTTAGAAGTCCCTCTCAATAAAGTCCCTCTTGGCTAAGAACAGGTTCAGTACTATGGGATGTTAATGGCTATTCTCTTTGTATTAATTTGCCTTGAACTCTTTGCTGATGCCTGTGGGTGACAGGATTAGGCAAGTACAGAATTATAGGACTTGGGGAGCTTTTTTCTCCCCAAAAGGGGAAACTCAAGAGCTGATAAGACAGCTGGAAAAGATCCCTTCACAACTGATAAGTGGTTGCCTAAACTTTTCAGTGTTGCTGCAATGGATGGGTCTTTCTCTGGCCTCCCTGAACTCTTCTCCTTCCCCAGCCTGCTGCAGGGAATGCTTTTCTCTCTCTCTTTCTCTCCTTTCCCTTTCCTATCTTTTCTGTTACTCAGGGTGACCATCTTGCCAGGGACCACATGTTGAAAAATGTCCTTGGGAGTTTAACCTTATAACCACATAGTGGTACTTTCTCTTGGTCTCTGCCATCCAGAGGACAGGAGTTTGGGGGTTCATGTCATAGCCCTAAAAATTATCTTGAGCAGTTAAAAGCTTTTGCAAGCTCAAAATTGACTGCTCTAGGCTCCTTCTGGGAAGGGCAATAGAGACTGCCCAGTGCTGTAGCTTAGTAGCTAAGCCTCTGCCATTTTACAATGGCAGCCTGGGTTCATTCCTGGCTTAAGGAATGAGTCCTTTCTCATTTCATATCTGTGACCTTTACCATTTATTGATTCTCTTCCCCTCCATGAGCCACCTTGAATATTCCTTTCTCTGAGCTCCTGGAAGGTTACCTTTAGCAAAGTCCAAAAGCCAGAAATATTGGCAGTTTAGCATGGCTAAAGTGGAGCAATGAGAAACTTTAAAAGATATTTTTTCTTGACAGGGCACTATGGTTAATAGTTAGCTCAATTAAAAGCAGATATAGGCCAGGTGCGGTGGCTCATGCCTGTAATCTCAGCACTTTGGTAGGTTGAAGTGGGCAAATGATGAGATTGGGAGATCGAGACCATCCTGGCTAACACGGTGAAACCCTAACTCTACTAAAAATACAAAAAAAAAAAAAAAAATTAGCTGGACGTGGTGGCGGGTGCCTGTAGTCCCAGCTACACGGGAGGCTGAGGCAGAAGAATGGCGTGAACCTGGGAGGCGGAGTTTGCAGTGAGCTGACATCGTGTCGCTGCACTCCAGCCTGGGTGACAAAGTGAGACTCCATCTCAAAAAAAAAAAAAAAAAAAAAAGGGGGATATAATAGCCTGGGACTCTCAGGGAAAAACAAAGGAGGTACTACAGACCCCATTTGGCAAATAACCTCTGTTTTCCTCATGAAAACCCAGGAATTAAAAACAGATACATTCCTCTCAAAAATCTAAGACTCTGTTCCATTTTGCATTGCATTATCTAATGATTTTTACTTTTGGGGGTATCAGAAATCACTTCACATTTTGAGAGAGCTTTGGTGTGTAATAACTAGATAGGAAATAAGAGCATTGGGGATAACTAATGGCAGTTATGGGGGGTTTCTTGGCTTTTTGAATATTTGGATCAGAGAAGCATGGTCTTGGCCACCTAGAAGGTATGAAGATGACCCCATCCACCACCCTCCCGCCATCCCCCACTGAGAGATAAGACTCCCATAGGGGATGGGCTGATAACAGAATGGGCTAATTGGCTTTGAGTTGCTTGGCAATAAAATGCACCATAAAATCATTGTACTGTCTTGTTCTATAGTATTTCTTTTTTGGGGAGAATCCAGGATCTGTTATAAAATAATTAGACCCTTAATTTTGGGGGGATCTGTATTGCCTTCTATCTGTGTCTGCTTACTATGCTCTAGAACCTGCATGCTTTCCTGACCCTGTTCCTGCAAGATCTCCACCCTGAAGCCAGTAATCCAATTAAGAAGTTGGCAAATGAAAAATCTTACAACTGCCGGATCTTCTTCTGTGTTTGTATATGTTTTGTGTGTGATGTCTACATATGAATGTGTTTGTAATTGGTTTAAAAATAATAAGAGTTTAAATCAAATATTTTGTCAGAAAAATTAAAACTGTAATGCCTTTTAGTTCATGTAACTTAAGTAATATTTGGGAAAATAAAGACAATTTTAAAGATTATTGGGTTTTGAAAAAAAAGAAACTGTCTTTATTTCCTCAAAGATTACTTTATTTCCAAACATCTTGTTAAAACAGGTTCCATGGGTATAAGTAAGTTGGCTAAGATTTGAAGGGGTTTATTTAGTTTTTTTTTCCCCATAGGTCAAAATATCTTCAAAAACTTGGACATTTGGTCTAAATTATGCAGCTCAGATATTAGGTTGCAAAAGGCTTTAAGGTCATAAACTGCTTTTTTGACTTTTGAAAATTGTTCAATTTACCTACTTTGGAGCATTAGATTCTAATTAGGTCCTGGAGATATGTGGAGTTAGCCGTGCCCCCTAGCTATGCTGGAAAAAGTCAGACCTCATCTGCAGTTCTGTCTGATGTCCTAGGCCCCAAACCTAATACATAATAAAAATTGCTTATTTATCAGGTTTTTCACCAAGAATAATAGTTTCTAAGAGTTAACATTGTAACATGTAATTGGGACTACTGGGTAAAAAGTTTTACATACAAGTTTGCAAAGTATGGAAGGAAAATAGAATGACGTTTTGGTGGGAGGTTATAAAAAAGCATGGGAATACAGATTTTGTTAAAGGGAATGTAATTTTGTCTAGTTCAGAGGGCTTTAAAGATTGCCTTAACCTAAAAGAAGGGGACAAAACTGAGTGTTTAAAGTAAGTTGAAAAGGATTTGTGAAGGGTTGATCTTGTAAAAAAGGTTCTGTGGCTATAAGCAAATTGGCTAAGATTTGAAGGGGATTATTTAGGTTTGTTTTCCCCGTAGGTTAAAACCTTAAAATAAAAGCATACTGATTTGGAGCCAGAATCTGAACCCATGTGGCCAAATAACAAGGTTTTCTTAGACAATTGATCTGTTTAACAAAAATTATAAAGAGTTATAAGAGCTTTATGAAAATCATAACTTACGGTCAAACTTTTTAAAACTGGTTACATTTATACAATATTATTACAAACTAGCTTTATCATTAAAGATGCACTAATGCAAACATAAAATTTGGTTTTCTCTTTTGAAAAGGCTTTCATGTAATATTAAAAGATAATGAAAGGTTTTTGGCTGTGTCTTTAGGTAAATGACAAGGAAAAAGGGAGGGGAGAGAGAAGAGACAGATTCAGCTGGCATCATGCTGTCTTTATTGTGTCTTGTTTAGAAAGCTGATTCTCTCCTCTCTCAGTGAGTATAGAGTCGTGCTTTTGAAAAATATCTGAGTTGTCATTTTGGCTAAATGAGTGACTTTTGGTGACTTGAAATTCTATTTTTCTATCAAATGTCTTAAACCTTTGAGAGTTGACAAACTGCAAAATCAAATTATAAAGTATATCTTTTTCTGGCCTCATACCTTGCCTATACAGTCCCTGTACAGGGACCTGTGGTGAGTAGAGAATGTCACTTTCTGACAGTTCCAGGAGCCCCAAGTTATCTTGGGACCTCAAGAGGAGAGGAATCTACTCAATTCATAGCTATTTGAGGGTACAAACCCATGGCTGGGCTTGGCTTCAAAAGACGTCTTATGTGAGATTCCTTTTATAGAACAAAGTTCCATAAAGCCAACCTGAAAAAAAAAAAAAGAAAGAAAACAAACAAAAAAAACTTTATGTGAAAAATGATTATTCTTGCTGTGCTTTATACAAATAAGCCAACTGTTAAATTCTTTAACAGTTACAGGCTGCTAAGAAGACCTTGCTGTACTTTATACAAATAGCCAAGTATAATAAAGCAAATAGGTCTTACCATGATTTGTTTTTAGTAAAAATGGAAAATTGGATCATCCCTGTCTGACAGCTCTGAAGAGAGCAGTGGCTCTCCCAGCATAGCTGCTGAGCTCTGAGAATGAACAAACTGCCTCCTCAAGTGAGTCCCTGACCTCTGTGTAGCCTAACAGGGAGACACTTCCCAGTAGGGGCCAACAGACACCACATATAGGTGAGTGCCCTCTGGGACGAAGCTTCCAGAGGAAGGATAAGGCAGCAATATTTGCTGTTCTGAAATAATTGCTGTTCTGCAGCCTCCACTGGTGATACCCAGGCAAACAGGGTCTGGAGTGGACCTCCAGCAAACTCCAACAGACCTGCAGCTGAGGGACCTGACTGTTAGAAGGAAAACTAACAAACAGAAAGAAATAGCACCAACATCAACAAAAAGGACATCTACACCAAAACCCCATCCGTAGGTCACCAACATCAAAGACCAAAGGTAGATAAAACCACAAAGATGGGGAGAAACCAGAGCAGAAAAGCTGAAAATTCTAGAAACCAGAGTGCATCTTCTCCTCTGAAGGATCACAGCTCCTCGCCAGCAGTGGAACAAAGCTGGGTGGAGAATGATTTGACAAGTTGACAGAAGTAGGCTTCAGAAGGTCGCTAATAACAAACTTCTCTGAGCTAAAGGATCATGTTCAAATCCACTGCAAAGAAGGTAAAAATCTTGAAAAAAGGATAGACAAATGGCTAACTAGAATAAACAATGTAGAGAAGACCTTAAATAACCTGATGGAGCTGAAAACCATGGCACGAGAACTTCATGACACATGCACAAGCTTCAATACCCAATTCGATCAAGTGGAGGAAAGGGTATCACTGATTGAAGATCAAATTCATGAAATGAAGTGAGAAGAGAAGGTTAAAGAAAAAACAATAAAAAGAAATGAACAAAATCTCCAAGAAATATGGGACTATGTGAAAAGACCAAATCTACATCTGATGAGTGTACCTGAAAGTGATGCGGAGAATGGAACCAAGCTGGAAAACACTCTTCAGGATATTATCCAGGAGAACTTCCCCAAGCTAGTAAGGCAGGCCAACATTCAAATTCAGGAAATACGGAGAACACCACAAAGATACTGCTCGAGATGAGCAACCCCAAGACACATAATTGGCAGATTCACCAAGGTTGAAATGAAGGAAAAAATGTTAAGGGAAGCCAGAGAGAAAGGTCGGTTTACCCACAAAGGGAAACCCATCAGACTAACAGTGGATGTCTTGGCAGAAACTCTACAAGCCAGAAGAGAGGGGGGGCCAACATTCTTAAAGAAAAGAATTTTCAACCCAGAATTTCATATCCAGCCAAACTAAGCTTCATAAGTGAAGGAGAAATAAAATCCTTTACAGACATGCAAATGGTGAGAGATTTTGTCACCACCAGGCCTGCCTTACAAGAGCTCCTGAAGGAAACACTAAACATAGAAAGGAACAACCAGTACCAGCCACTGCAAAAACATGCCTAATTGTAAAGACCTTCGATGCTATGAAGAAACTGCATCAATTAATGGGCAAAATAACCAGCAAACATCATACTGACAGGATGAAATTCACACATAACAATATTAACCTTAAATGTAAATGGGCTAAATGCCCCAATTAAAAGACACAGACGGGCAAATTGGATAAACAGTCAAGACCCATCAGTATGCTGTATTCAGGAGACCCATCTCATGTGCAGAGACACATATAGACTCAATATAAAGGGATGGAGGAAGATCTACCAAGCAAAAGGAAAGCAAAAAAAAAAAGCAGGGATTGCAAGCCGAGTCTCTGATAAACAGACTTTAAACCAATTGAGATCAAAAGAGACAAAGAAGGCCATTACATAATGGTAAAGGAATCAATTCATCAAGAAAAGCTAACTACCTAAATTTATATGCACCCAATACAGGAGCACCCAGATTCATAAAGCAAGTCCTTAGAGACTTACAAAGAGACTTAGACTCCCACACAATAATAATGGGAGGCTTTAACACCCCACTGTAAAAATCAGACAGATTAACGAGACAGAAAGTTAACAAGGATATACAAGACTTGAACTCAGCTCTGCACCAAGCAGACCTAATAGACATCTAAAGAACTCTCCTCCCCAAATCAACAGAATATACATTCTTCTCAGCACCACATTGCACTTATTCTAAAATTTACCACATAATTGGAAGTAAAACACTCTTCAGCAAATGTAAAAGAAAAGAAATCACAACAAACAGCCTCTCAGACCACGGGGCAATCAAATTAGAACTCAGGATTAAGAAACTCACTCAAAATGGCACAACTACCTGGAAACTGGACAACCTGCTCCTGAATGACTGCTGGTTAAATAACGAAATGAAGGCAGAAATAAAGATGTTCTTTGAAACCAATGAGATCAAAGACACAATGTACAAGAATCCCTGGGACACATTTAAAGCAGTGTGTACAGGGGAATTTATATCACTAAATGCCCACAAGAGAAAGCAAGAAAGATCTAAAATTGACATCCGAACATCACAATTAAAAGAACTAGAGAAGCAAGAGCAAACAAATTCAAAACTAGTAGAAGGCAAGAAATAACTAAGATCAGAGGAGAACTGAAAGAGATAGAGACACAAAAAGACCCTTCAAAAAATCAATGAATCCAGGAGCTGGTTTTTTGAAAAGATCAACAAAATTGATAGAATGCTAGCAAGACTAATAAAGAAGAAAAAAAAGAATCAAATAGATGCAATAAAAAATGACAAAGGGGATATCACCACCAATCCCACAGAAATACAAACTACCATCAGCGAATACTATAAACACCTCTATGCAAATAAACTAGAAAATCTAGAAGAAATGGATAAATTCCTCAACACACCCTCCCACGACTAAACCAGGAAGAAGTTGAATCTCTGAATAGACCAATAACAGGCTCTGAAATTGAGGCAACAATTAATAGCCTATCAACTAAAGTAATTCCAGGACATGATGGATTCATAGCCGAATTCTACCAGAGGTACAAAGAGGAACTGATACCATTCCTTCTAAAACTATTCCAATCAATAGAAAAAGGGGGAATCCTCCCTAACTCATTTTATGAGGCCAGCATCATCCTGATACCAAAGCCTGGCAGAGACAGAAAAAAAAGAGAATTTTAGACCAATAACCCTGATGAACATTGATGCGAAAATCCTCTATAAAATACTGGCAAATTGAATCCAGCTAGCACATCAAAAAGCTTATCCACCAGGATCAACTCGGCTTCATCCCTGGGATGCAAGGCTGGTTCAACATATGCATATCAATAAACATAATCCATCACAGAAACAGAAGACATGACAAAATTCACATGATTATCTCAATCGATGCAGAAAAGGCCTTTGACAAAATTCAACAGTGCTTCATGGTAAAAGCTGTCAATAAACTAGGTACTGATGGAACATATCTCAAAATACTAAGAGCTATTTGTGACAAACCCACAGCCAATATCATACTGAATGGGCAAAAACTGGAAGCATTCCCTTTGAAAACCAGCACAAGACAAGGATGCCCTCTCTCACCGTTTCTATTCAACATAGTGTTGAAAGTTCTGGCCAGGGCAGTCAGGCAAGAGAAAGAAATAAAGGTTATTCGATTAGGAAAAGAGGAAGTCAAATTGTCCCTGTCTGCAGATGACATGACTGTATATTTAGAAAACCCCATCATCTCAGCCCAAAATCTTCTTAAGCTGAAAAGCAACTTCAGCAAAGTCTCAGGATACAAAATCAATGTGCAAAAATCACAAGCATTCCTATATGCCAATAACAGAAAAACGGAGAGCCAAATCATGAGTGAACTCCCATTCACAATTGCTACAAAGAGAATAAAATACCTAGGAATCCAATTTGCAAGGTATGTGAAGGACCTCTTCAAGGAGAACTACAAACCACTGCTCAACAAAATAAAAGAGGACACAAGCAAATGGAAGAACGTTCCATGCTCATGGATAGGAAAAATCAACATAGTGAAAATGGCTATACTGCCCAAGGTAATTTATAGATTCAATGCCATCCCCATCAAGCTACCAATTACTTTCTTCACAGAATTGGAAAAAACTACTTTAAAGTTCATATGGAGCCAAAAAAGAGCCCGCATTGCCAAGACAATCCTAAGCAAAAAGAACAAAGCTGGAGGCATCACACTACCTGACTTCAAACTATACCACAAGGCTACAGTAACCAAGACAGCATGGTACTGGTACCAAAACAGAGATATAGACCAATGGAACAGAACAGAGCCCTCAGAAATAACACCATACATCTACAACCACCTGATCTTTGACAAACCTGACAAAAACAAGCAATGGGGAAAGGATTCCCTCTTTAATAAATGGTTCTGGGAAAACTGGCTAGCCATATATAGAAAGCTGAAACTGGATCCCTTCCTTACACCTTATACAAAAATTAACTCAAGATGTATTAAAGACTGAAATGTCAGACCTAAAACGAAAAAAACCCTAGAAGAAGACCTAGCCAATACCATTCAGGACATAGGCATGGGCAAGGACTTCATGACTAAAACACCAAAAGCAATGGCACCAAAAGCCAAAATAAACAAATGGGATCTCATTAAACTGAAGAGCTTCTGCACTGCAAAATAAACTACCATCAGAGCGAACAGGTAACCTACAGAATGGGAGAAAAGTTTTGCAATCTACCCATCTGTCAAAATCTGACAAAGAGCTAATATCCAGAATCTATAGAGAACTCAAACAAATTTACAAGAAAAAATCAAACAACCCCATCAACAAGTGGGCAAAGAATATGAACAGACACTTCTCAAAAGAAGACATTTATGCAGCCAAAAGACACATGAAAAAATGCTCATCATCACTGGCCATCAGAGAAATGCAAATCAAAACCACAGTGAGATACCATCTCACCCCAGTTAGAATGGTGATCATTAAAAACTCAGGAAACAACAGATGCTGGAGAGGATGTGGAGAAATAGGAGTGCTTTTACACTGTTGGTGGGAGTGTAAATTAGTTCAACCATTGTGGAAGTCAGTGTGGCAATTTCTTAAGGATCTAGAACTAGAAATACCATTTGACCCAGCTATCCCATTACTGGGTATATACCCAAATGAATATAAATCATGCTCCTATAAAGACACATGCACACATATGTTTATTGTGGCACTATTCACAATAGCAAGACTTGGAACCAACCCAAGTGTCCATCAATGATAAACTGGATTAAGAAAATGTGGCACATATACACCATGGAATACTATGCAGCTGTAAGAAAGGATGAGTTTATGTCCTTTGCAGGGACATGGATGAAACTGGAAACATCATTCTCAGCAAACTATCACAAAGACAGAAAACCAAACACTACATGTTCTCACTCATAGGTGGGATTTGAACAATGAGAACCCTTGGACACAGGGTGGGGAACATCACACACCAGGGCCTGTCAGGGGGTGGGGGTTTGGAGGAGGGATAGCATTAGGAGAAATACCTAATGTAAATGACGAATTGATGGGTGCAGCAAACCAACATGGCACATGTATACCTATGTATCAAACCTGCAAGTTGTGCACTTGTACCCTAGAACTTAAAGTATAATTTAAAAATAAATTTAAAAATGGAAAATTGGGGAGAGAAAAAATTATATTTCAAGAATATGGCACACTTGTTATTAGATTCTAGTCTCATCAGTTGTTTTTGAGTTTTTTTGGTCTGCCATTTAAACTAATTCTTATTCCTGTGAACCAACCAGTGATCTCTGGCTGCTGCTCAGAAGAAACACGAGAGATGGGTAATGTAAAAACCTGAATCAATATTCTAATTCTGCACACTTTTTGGAATCAGCTAGCAACCCCATATCAGCCTGTTTCCAACAATTGCCCAGTTCATGGAAAACCTTCTTATTTAGTTTCCCTGGGATAATTTTGCTTTGCTGTTTGGAATATATTGCTATTGTATTCTTTGTGTAGGAATGCAGGATAAGCTTACCAAATGTTTTCTTAAACTGAACACCTATTAATCTTCCAGATATCATCTTTTGTCAGAACTCAGAGTTGTGAACGGCCCTTACCATACTAACACTTTCTGGCTGAGCTCCTCTCTACCCTGATTACAAAAGACCCTAATACTTAGGCAGGAATATAATTGCCCCTATTCAGCATGAAGAAGTTACAGAAGATGGATCTTCATACATCTGCAATCCTTAGGATTAAGGGTTCCCTTGTAAAAGGGAGGCAGGAAATGTCAGAGTCATTTGAACCAGAGCAACTCCATCTTGAATAAGTGCTGGGTAAAATAAGGCTGAGACTTACTGGGCTGCATTCCCAGGAGGTTAGACATTCTAAGCCACAGGATGAGATAGGAGGTTGGCACCAGATATAGGTCATAAATACCTTGCGAATAAAACAGCTTGCAGTAAAGAAGACACCCAAAACTCACTAAAACCAAGATGGCAATGAGAGTGACCTCTGGGTGTCCTCACAGCTCACTGTAGGCTAATTATAATATATTAGCAAGCTACAATACACTCCCACTACCATGACAGTTTATAGATGCTATAACGACTTTCAGAAGTTACCCTATATGGTCTAAAAGGGGAGGAACTCTCAGTTCCAAGAGTTGCCCACCCCTTTCCTGGGAAATTCATGAATAATCAATCCCTCCTTTAGCATATAATCAAGAAGTAACAGTGTCCTCAGTTGAGTAGCTCAAGCCATTGCTCTGCCTATGGAGTAGCCACTCCTTTATTCCTTTGACTTTCTTAGTAAACTTGCTTTCACTTTGCTCTATGGACTCACCTTGAATTCTTTCTTGTGAGAGAGCCAAGAACCCTCTCTTGGGGTCTGGATATGGACCCCTTTCTGGTACCAAAATGAGATGATAATAGGATCTTTCTTCTATAGTGTATTGGCATGATAGATTACAACATTGATTGATTTTTTAATGTTGAACCATATCAAAAATTTATTTGTACATATTGTTGGATTTTGTTTGCTAATATTTTGCTAAGGTTGTTTGCTTCAATATTGATGGGAGAAATTGGTCTGTAACTGTTCTTTTCTTGTAATACCTTATCTGATTTTGGTAAGGAGAAGGCTGGCCTCATTGGCTCTGTTAGGAAGTGTTCCCTCTGCTCCAGTTTCTTTTTGGAAGAGATTGTGAAGAATTGACATCATTTCTTTTAAAAATATTTAGTAGAATTTACCACTGAAACTATTTAGGCTAGGTGCTTTATCTTATGAAAGGTTATTAATAATATATTTAAATTATTTAACAGTTACAAGCTATTAAGATGATCTATTTCTCTTTGGGTGAATTTTAGTGGTTTGTATCTTTTAAGGAATTTTGTCCATTTCATTTAATTATCAAATTTGTTGGCATTTATATTAGCTAGAAATAAAGTTTTTACTTTCTTTTTATTATTCATAATATCATTAGTAATGACCCAACTTTCATGTCTAATATTATTAATTTGACTCTTAAAATTTTTTTTTGTTATGTCTAGAGGTTTATCGATTTTATTACTCTTTGGAAAGAATCAGCTTTTAGCTTTGTTGATTCTCTTTATTGGTTTTCAGTTTCTATTTCATTGATTTATGCTTTAATTTATTCTATTTCTCCATCTTGCTTTAGGGTTATATTGCTTTTCCTTCTTGAGATTGTTAAAGTAGAAGCTGAGAAATATGGTTTTAGATCCTTCTACTTTTCTAATACATGCATTCCATGCTATAAATTTTTCTCTAATCATTATTTCTGCTATTCCACAAGTTTTGATAAAAAGCACTTTTATTTTTTGTTTAAAATATGTTTTAATTTTTCTCGAGACTTCTTTGACTAATGTGTTATTAGAAGTATACTTTCTTCCTCCAAAATTTGGGAATTCTCTGGCTTGCTTTCTGGTATTAATTTCCAGTTTAATTACATTGTGGTCTAAGAATATGCTTTATATGATTTATCTTCTTTTAAAATTTGTAATGTGTGTTGAGTTTCCCAGATTGTGGTTTTTCCTGTGAATGTTCCATTTGAACTTGAGAACAACGTATACCCTGCTGTTGTTGAATTTAGTGCCTATAGATGTCAGTTAGATAAAATTGATGCCGGTGCTCTTCAGGTCAACTATAACCTTACTCATATTATGTCTGTCTGATCTATCAATTACTAAAATAGAAGCATTGGCAGTCTTCCACTATAACTGTAGGCTTGTCTATTTTTCTTGTAGTTATACCAATTTTTGCCTCTCGTATTTTGATACTCTTGTTAGCTACATACTCCTTAAGGATTGCTGTGACTGCTTGGAGAAGTAATCCCTTTATCAGTTTAAAGCGTTCCTCTTTTTCCTGATAATTTTCATTGCTCTAATGTCTGCTTTGTTTGAAATTAAAATAGGTATGACAAATTTCTTTGACTAGTATTAGCAAGGCATACCTTTCTTCATTCTTTCACTTTTAATCTAGCTGAGTCTTTATATTTAATAATAATTTCTTGTAGACAACATACCCACTTTTTAAATTTCTGTCTTTTAATTGATATATTTAGGTCATTTACAGTTAAAGTGATTATTGATTATATTTTAATAAATAGTTCGAGTAAGTTGCCCCATATATTTCATGGGTCATACTTATACCAAAACATCACACAATATTATACAAAATTCAAATTCAAGGCCAGGCGCAGTGGCTCACGCCTGTAATCCCAGCACTTTGCGAGGTGGAGGCAGGTGGATCACGAGGTCAGGAGATCCAGACCATCCTGGCTAACACGGTGAAACCCGTCTCTACTAAAAATACAAAAAATTAGCTGGGCGCCGTGGTGGGCGCCTGTAGTCCCAGCTACTTGGGAGGCTGAGGCAGGAGAAAGGCGTGAACCCAGGAGGCGGAGCTTGCAGTGAGCCGAGATCGCACTACTGTACTCCAGCCTGGGCGAAAAAGCGAGGCTCCGTCTCAAAAAAAAAACAAAAAATTAATTCAGCTTCTTGTATTTTTAATAGGCTTATTAGGATAGCTTGTTTGCAACTGTTTTCTATTTGTTACACTTATTTTTTGCTTCTTTTATTTCCTCATTTTTTTGGCTTTCTCTGGTTTTAATTCAGCATTTTATATTCTACCGTACCTCCTCTCTTAGTATATCAGTTATACTCTTTGAAAATATTTGTGATTTCCTTAGAGTTTGCAAAAGTTACATCTTTAGAAATTTTCCCACAGTTCTGGGATGTTCTGCTCTGCTTTTTCATTGTTTAATGTTTTTTCTCTTGAAATTTAGCTTGAAAAATGTCTATTGACATATCTTCAAGCTCACTTATTTATTTCTTCATCCTATATAGTCTATTGAGTGAATTAAAGTCATTCTTCATTTCTGTTACAGTGTTCTTGATTTCTTGTTTTTGCATTTTTTTCTTACTGTTTCTATATTTTTGTTTCTATTAACCACCTCTTTTGCATATTTTCTACTTTTTTGCATTAGAGTTAACATATTAAGTTATGATTAAATCCCTGTCTGATCATTCCAAAATTTGTGCCATATTTTAGTCTTGTTCTGATGCTTGCTTTGTCTCTTCAGTTTGAGTTTCTTCTTGTTTCTTATTATGCCTGTAACTTCTTTGTTGAAATCTGAATATACTGTTTCAAGTATTAGAAATTGTGATAAAAAGGATTCTAGTGTGAGGTTTCACGCTAGTCTGGTTAGGAAGTAGGCTGTGTTTAAGGTTTGCTGTAGCTGTAGGTGAGAGATGCTTCAAATTCCTCTAGTGCCCTTGTCTTCCCTGTTGTTTCTGGGCTTTACTAAAATTTCCTTCTTAGACAGAGTCCATGTCTTACAGCTCTTTGAGCCCTGTGGTGGCAAGTTGTGAAGGAAGGGAAGTGTCTACAATCTTATGATTAAATCTTTTCGTGGGCGTTTGTTCCTGGTCTGTGTCATTAACCATTGTTTCTTTCTTTCTTTTTTTTTTTTTTTTTTTTTTTTTTTTTTTTTGAGACAGAGTCTTGCTCTGTTGCCCAGGCTGGAGTGCAGTGGTGCGATCTTGGCTCACTGCAAGCTCCATCTCCTGGGTTCATGCCATTCTCCTACCTCAGCTTCCCAAGTAGCTGGGATTACAGGGGTCTGCCACTATGCCTGGCTAATTTTTTGTATTTTTAGTAGAAACGGGGTTTCACCCTGTTAGCCAGGATGGTCTCGATCTCCTGACCACCCGATCTCGATCCACCCGCCTCGGCCTCCCAAAATGCTAGGATTACAGGCGTGAGCCACCCCACCCGGCCTAACCATTGTTTCTTAACCCTCATTCTTATATTTAAGACAGGAAGACTAGAAGGGGCTGAAGTCAGGGAAATGACCTTCCCCAAGTGGTATAAGGCTCTGGCATAGTCTGGCAGGTAGATCTTCATTATATAGAAGGCTATGGGAGTTCATACATTTTATAATGATTACTTTCCCCTCCCTCATCCAGAGCCACGACGTGATCTTGTGCAAATTTTTACCATAATAACCCAATAAGGTCCTGCAGATAAAGCCTATGAAAATGTGTGCTTCCCCTAAAATTGTGAGCCTCTTACTCTCACAACAGTCCACATGCAGCTTCTAGCAATTTGTCAAAATTACTGTTCGTGTGTTCCCACTTGTTTATGACTCCAGTGGTTTTGTTTCAGGTAACCCTGGATCTCTGGATTCATATACCTTTCCAGATTTTGAGATAGCAGTATAGCCAGATTCTCTGATGGGTTTAAAAACAGTTATTAATTTTCAGGTTTTTTCTTCATTTTTTATTTTTTTACGTGTTGAAAAAGTAACAACTTCTAGGTCTTTACGGGTCAGAGCAGGATTCTGAAATCCTGCCCCAATCACCTTTACACATGAGCATGAAGGGTGATGCTCTTTTTGAGACGGCAGACAGAAGAAGAACCTGTAGCTGTACAGTTCTACTACAATAAAAGAAAAAAATAACCTGAAGTCATGTAGTACCTTTATGCCACTATAAAGGAATACCTGAGGCTGGGTAAGTTTTAAAAAGAAAAGGTTTACTTGGCTCACAGTTCTGCAGGCTGTATAAGAAGCATGGTGCCAACATCTGCTTCTGGTGAGGGCTTTAGGCTGCTGTTATTCATGGCAGAAGGCAAAGGTGAGCTGGTGTGTGCAGATATCACATGGCTTGACAGGAAGCAGGAGAGCAAGGTGGGAGATGCCAGTCTCTTTTTAACAGTCAACTCTCTCACGAACTAATGGAGGGAGAACTCACTGACTCACACCCTTCCCGGAGGTCATTCATCTATTTATGAAGGATCTGACCCCGTGACCCATACGCCTCCCACCAGACCCCGCCTCCAACATTGGGGATCAAATTTCAACGTGAGATTTGGAGAGGACAAATATCCAAATGATTTGGGAAGCCTGTTTTTCTTTGTAAATACATTTATATTTAGTTATGTTTTTATTGTTTTTGCTATTTTTAGTCTTTCGACATCAGATAAACTCCAGCCTTTTCTTTAGCCCTGTTTTGCTTTTTTCTTTCATGAAGTTCCAGGAGAAAGTGAAGTACCAGTATAAACGAAGAGAGAGGTAAGTGAATGTGAGTTGGAAGTGGACTTTGAGGTCACGCAGTCAAATGTCCCCTTTTTATGAAGAAAGGCACTGGGACTGAAAAAGGGGGCGAGATTTGTGTAAGGGGATCTGACTTCTCAGTGAAAAAGTTGGGGGTATTGAGCCCAAGTTTTCTGAATCTCTCTCTATTCTTGGTGATAAGAGCATAGCTCCAAGGGAACAGTTAATTTATTAAATGATATCACATAACCAATGGTAATATACAGAATTCTTTTGTTTTTGTGGTTCCTAAGGGATCACCTCTTTTTAATTGAATATTACACCTTCTTATTAATAGAGTGTTGAAAATATATGAGTAGACATTTGGACTCTGCAGAACTGTCTCCATGACAGTCAGTAGTAATGTAGGTCACATTTTGATCCAAACATTAATTGACAGTGTCCTTTAATGTGCATTTTGGGGCTCAGGTAGTAGCAGTGAGGAAAACTCATTATAAGCCCAGGAGGAGACAGTGTGCAGCTCTGTGACATGCCATCTGATGTTCGAAAGGGGTTTTCACTGAATCCAGGAAGCTTTGCCTGAGGATAAAACCACCCTTTCACCAGCGTATGTGGGAGGAAGGCTGCAGTGGCCCATAGAAGTGCCCTCAGGCAGTGGGGTCCTTGTCACCTGCAGTATCACCCAGGCTTTGAAAAGCACTTCTTTCTCTTTCTCTTTTCTTTTAGGATCTAAACCTTTCGCTCTCATTTTGTCCACCAAGGAAAACTGACGAGCATTATTCTCATGTCTCAGCTTTTAAAAGTGCTTCCTGTTTGACAGATTTCCTTGTTCCCAGCTTAGTGTGTAGAAATGTTACTCTGGCCGGGCGCGGTGGCTCACGCCTGTAATCCCAGCACTTTGGGAGGCCGAGGCGGGCGGATCACGAGGTCAGGAGATCGAGACCATCCCGGCTAAAACGGTGAAACCCCGTCTCTACTAAAAATACAAAAAATTAGCCGGGCGTAGTGGCGGGCGCCTGTAGTCCCAGCTACTTGGGAGGCTGAGGCAGGAGAATGGCGTGAACCCGGGAGGCGGAGCTTGCAGTGAGCCGAGATCCCGCCACTGCACTCCAGCCTGGGCGACAGAGCGAGACTCCGTCTCAAAAAAAAAAAAGAAATGTTACTCTTTGGAAGTCTGCATCAATAAAAATCATTTAAATTTCTTTCTTCAGTTTCTGTGTCAGTTATAAGTCTACCAACAATGTCGTAGCTGGTAGATAAACAGCAATTACTGTATTTTACTTTCCACAGGACCGCTCAAATTTCAATGAAACCAATTGGAAATTTGTTTTTGAAATTGAAGAAAATGACTAATATGATTTTAAAAATCATTTTAAGCAGTAGACTGGTAGATAAGACTTAAAGTTCCAACGCTGCCTCACTGTTAATTCTTGGGCAGTAGATAAACCATTTGAACAGCAGTGCATGATAAAAGCAAACAGATGCCTATACAAAAGTATTTTAATGGACTACTGTGAGGTTTAATTTTTTTAATTGTTTTTATGCTCATTTAATTAAACTAATTTTCTTGAGCACTCACTATTATGGTTTGGGTTCTCCCAGAAGCTTATTTGGGAGGTTATTTCAAGAAACATTGGTAGAAAATTGGTGAAGTGAGACAAGGAAGAGGGACAAGCCAATAAGGAATTCATCATGAAGCCAGTTACCCATCTGGAGATTCAGAGTTCTCCTACCTAAAGGCATGAAAGTGAGGGTATTTATCCAGTGACTTCCTCCACTTTGAGGGCTGTTAATTCCAGGGCACTTGTGGCTTGGCTGTAACTAAGTTGCTGTACCCCTGTAGTCAGCAAAAAGCCTTCAGCCACAGAGGCCACTGATGCCCTAGGATGATGGTCCTCAAAGTGCAGATCCAAAACCAGAAGCATCAGCAGCACCTGGAAACTTGTTAAAAATGCAAAATTTCCCTCTTCTCCCTTCCTTAAGAGCTACGTCTCATCGCAGTGTATTTTCTGTTTTGATTGTGACTGGTTGCTCTCCACATCTGCTGCACAGCTCTCTTTTTGGGGTGACTTTTTACCATTTCATAGTGTGAAGACTGTTTCCTGAATTCTAGAAATTCTGCTTTCTAGGCATACTCTCTTATTTGCCAAAAAAAAATCCTACAGTAGGTTGCTGGGAAAATATATATGGGAAGTCAAGTTATTTTAGTCTTTGCCTATCTGAAACTTATTTGCATATCTGCAAAAAGTTTATTCAACCATCACCCTTTGTCTTCCTCCATTTGTGTTGCTATCACAAAATATCTTACAGCAGGCAATTTACAAAGATCAGAAACTTATTTCTTACAGTTCTGGAGGCTGGGAAGTCTAAGATCAAAGAACCAGCATTAGTGTCCGGTGAGGACTGCCCTTGCTTCCAAGATGGAGGTTTGTTGCTGTGACCTCACCTTGAAGGAGCATGGAAGAGGAGGAGCCCGCTCTCTCTAAGCCTTTTATAAGGGTGCTAATCTCATTCCCAGGGACTAAGCTCCCATGTCTTAATCCCCTCAGAAAGGTTACACCTCTTCATACCATCACACAGAGGATCATATTTTATGGTAAATGTTGGAGGGGACACAGTTATTCAAACTATAGCATCCTTGTTTTACTGTTTGAATATGAAATCTCTGGGAAAAACTTTTTTTCTAAAAAATGTAAAGATAGTTTTTGACATTCCCAAAGCAGATATCATCACTTGAGAAATTTAGAGCCACCTGGTTCCAAATATCTCTAGTAAAGCTGTTTTCCCTGACCCCTCTGGAATTTTGGGAAATCGTCTTCATGCCCTGGGTCCTGAAATTTATCAGTTATTGATCTTTGTCCTTAGGATTTTAAATCTAAAGTCTTGTACCCTTTATTTCTGGAGTTTATGGTTTTTAGTAGGGGAAATGTCTTTTTTTTTTTTTTTTTTTTTTTTTGCTAACGATCTCTTCATTTTCTGAAATTCCATTAGTCAGATGTTGCACCACCTCAATTGCTTTCTAATTTATTATCTTCTTTTGTATTTTCAGATTTGTTTTTATTTTTGTTTCTACTGATCATAAAATAAATAAGAGACACTAAAAAACTAATTGGAAGCTTTTGGTGTGTGGATCTTTTTATAAGATGATTGTTTTAGGTGGAATAATGGTTCTTTAAACATGTGCCCATCTTAATCCATGGAACCTACTAATATATTACATTACATGGAAAAAGGGACCTTACAGATGTAATTAAGTATTTTGAGATGGGAGGTTATTCTGAATTATCCAGATAACCTGACAGAATCATCAGGATCCCTGTAAGAGAGAGGCAGAAGGTCAGAGAAAAGGTGCTATACTGGCTTTGAAGATCAAGGAAGGGGCCACAGGCTCAGGAAAGCTGGTGTCTGCTAGGAGCTGGAAAAGGGGAGAAAGATTCTCCCATAAATCCCTAGAAAGGATGCAGCTCTAGACATTTTAAACTTCTGACTTCTAGAACTGTAAGAGTTCATCTGTATTGTTTGAAGTCACTAAACTCATAGTAACTGAATGCTGAAGCCTTAGGAAACTAATACAGTGAGGCACAAGCCATGTAGTGAACTGCCTTTTACACTGGACCCCACACCGCAGGATGTAGAAGTGGATGTCAGTTTCTTCAGAATGCACACACTGTATGACATCAATTATTCACTATGACTTTTAGTTTTCTCATTTGTAAATGGGCATAATAATACTTACCATAATGATTTCACCAAATTTTTGAAGAAATCAGGTGAATAAATGATCTGAAGTTTCTACCACCACAAAGTGCTCCCGTCTCAAAATACCTCATATATAGGACCATAAAGTGCTATAAAAGGTAAGATTTGAAAAGGGTATAATTTGTACACATAGCACTTACGAGGCCATGGGCATCTTGAGAAAATATTTTTAAAATTCTGATGTGTCAAAGCAGGTATAATTTTATTTAGATTAACTCAACAAAGGGAAAACAAGACAAAAAACTATTGCTAAATAGTTAAAGGGAAATGTCAAGGTGTGTCCTATATTTTCTGAGGAAGTGAGCATTTAGATTTTTCTAAGTAATTTGTTATTACGATATAATTTTAGCCCGACACGGAGTCTCACACCTGTAATCCCATTGTTTTGGGAGATGGAGTCAGCAAGATCACTTGAGCCCAGGAATCTGAGATCAGCCTGGACAACATAGCAAGACCCTGTATCTACAAAAAATGAAAATATTAACCATGAGTGGTGGTGCATGTCTGTAGTCCCAGATACTCAGGAGGCTG
The DNA here is from genome assembly GCF_000001405.40 of Homo sapiens. NCBI lineage: Eukaryota > Metazoa > Chordata > Mammalia > Primates > Hominidae > Homo > Homo sapiens. The sequence continues at coordinate 103,460,465 of NC_000002.12, read as the reverse complement.
AGGCAGGTGGATCACTTGAGCCCAAGAGTTTAAGGCTGCAGTGAGCTATGATCTTACTACTGCACTCCAGCTTAAGTGACAGAGTGAGACCCCAACTCTTTAAAAAATGAGAAGCATAATTTCAAACAGATAAAAAATGTGTTAGAGTAGCAGAACGGACTCTCCTATATCCTTTGACCAGATTCTCTGGCTGGTTATAGTTTCTCCAATTGGCTTTATCTTCTTTTTCTACCTCATCCTGTGTGTCTGTGTACAAATTTGTCTAATATATACATACAATATTCAATATATTTATATATTATATATTATAAAGATGGTGATAGTGTTGCCTTCATATAATTTTATTTTTGTGACTTAGGGAGATACTGACTTTATTTTTCCTTACTACCTTGTAATACTGAGCAATACATGGTTCTTACATGAACTCTAGGATGAATAATGAATTCTGGGTTCAGGATCTTCCTCTCACCCATCAGAATTTCAATTTCACCTGCTACATCATCTAAGTATAGTGCATCCCAATGAAACATTGCCAGAACAATTGAATCACAGTATTGTTATTTCTAGGTGCTATGACTAGTAACAATTTTCTCTTTTTATTTTACTTTGCCCTAGCAATTGAAAAAACATTGTGATTTCTAATATAAAATAACATATGAAAAACAATGCATAATGTTTCTTTCAATTCAACGAATTCACAGAAAAGCAATCTATAATGAATATAGGAAAAACATAGAAGCCAGAGGAAAAGATGAGGGTAAGAAAAATCTTTTGAGGGGCTTTGAATTACTATCTGTAAGTGGGGAAGGTGACTCTTTTCTATTAGAACTCCCCCCAATATTTTGTGTGTTACTATTACCTCTAGTGGTGATAGTTACATCTGTATTTGCAAGAGAAAGGTATTTCTCACAAGGAGGTACAATTTTTTTCATGCCTCATGTCCCCGTTACAGCAGGTGGCACTATTAGGAAGAGGCTATGAAAATGCATCAGGGTGTAACTGGTGCCCTCACTGCTGTACAAAGCCACAATACGTCTCATGCAGCATGCTCAGAGGATTGAGAGCACAATCAATGCCCAGGAAAAAGAAGTCCAGAGTTGATGGCTTTGCTCAACTGAGAACATCTCTAACTTTTCAAGGCACTTTATGCCCATTCAAAGATGTTAATAACATTTAATGGTCTTTACAGGTTACTTTTCAAATAACAGAAGCTTTTAATTTGTTCTTTAACTGAAGTGCTGCTACTTATTAAATTTTGAGAGGAACCGTAGGTTTATAGAGATATTTAAACAGTATATTTGGAGGTGCCTGAAATACATATTAAAAGTTTTAGAGAGTTTTAAGACTTCTAAAAGTAGATTTAACACACAAAACCACCAGATCCTAGAAACTAAATCTCTTTTTGCCAGACATGATCATCTCCAAAGTATGTTAGCACAGATGATGCATTGAAGTATGGTTAAAAATATAACAATATTGATTTTTATATTTATGATTACTCTAGCCTTTTATTTATTATTCCTAATTTTTTATTTTGAAAAGTTTGAAACATACAACACAAAAATTATTAAGCATAACTAAAAGAAACAACCCTATATCTTTACTTAGATTTACAAATTATTAACATCTTGCTACATTTACCTCATCTCTATATACATAATTTTAAAAATTATTGCTGTTGAACTGTTTAAGAGTTGCCAGCATCAGAGTAACAAAAGCCTGAATATTTAGCTGAGCATCTCTAAAGAATAAGGATATTTTTCTCTACAATCACAATATAAGGGTTATGTTCAGGAAACTAACATTGATATACTACTAGTACCCAGTATACAGTGCCAGTTGTCACAATCAAATGTTTTCTATTTATTTCTTTTATATAAAGCATTAATCAAAAATCATGTGTGGCATTTATACGTCTTGTCTGAGTTGCTTATCATAGCCATCCTTGTCAGCGTGAAGTGGTACCTAATTGTGATTTGTTTGCATTTCTTTAATGACTTTGTTGAGCATTTTTCCTGTCCTTATTAGCCATTCGTATATCTCTTCTGGAAATAGGTCTGTTCAAATCTTTTGTCCATTTTTAAATTGGGTTATTTGTCTTTTTAATGGGTAAGTGTATGCATCATATATTCTAGACACTAGACTTATCAAATATATGATTTTTAAAATATTGTATTACATTATTTGGGTTGTCTGTTGAATTTCTTGATAATGTCTTTTGCAGCACCGAAGTTTCCATTTTTATGAAGTAAATTTATGTATTTTTCTTTTGTTCCTTGTGCTTTTGGTGTCATATCTAAGAAACTATTTTCTAATTTAAGATTATCAAGAGTGATACTTGTTTTCTTCTAAGAGTTTTTTAGTTTTAGCATTTATATTTAGGTATTCATTTTAAGGTTTTTTTTGCACATTTTGTGAATATGTGAATTATAAGTATAACTTAATTGTTTATTGTGAATTACAAGTATAACTTAATTGTTTGTTCTATTTTTCATAAAGACATCCAGTTGCCACACATCATTGGTTGAAAAGATTATTCTTTCTCTCTTAAATTTCCTTAACTCCCTTATCAAAATAAATTGACTGTAACTGTAAGTGCTTTGGTTGTTATTGTTGTTTTTAATTTGGCCTCTAAATTATATTCCATTGATCTATATGACTATCTTTAAGCCATTACCACACTGTCTTGATTACTGTAGCTTTGGAGTAAGTTTGAAGTCAGAAAATGTGAGTTCTCCAATTTTGTTTTCCTTCTTACTAGATTGTTTTGAGCATTATGAGTCATTTGCATTTTCATATGGATTTTTAAATCAGCTTATCAATTTCTGATAAAAAGGAGGCTGAGATTTTAAAAGAGATCTCTAATCAATTTGGAGTAGGTGGGTATTGCTATTTAAACAATCCTGAGCCTTCAAATCTATCAACGAGTAATGTCTTTCCATTTACTTAGGTCTTCTTTAGTTATTCTCCATGAAGTTATTTTTGTTACCGATGTGCAAGTTTCTCTTATTAAATTTATTCTCAAGAATTTTATTTTTGATACTATTGTAATGAAAATTGCTTTCTTTATTTCACTTTCAAAGTGTTCGTTGCTAGAATGTAGAAATAGAATTAATTTTGTGCATAATGCTGCAATCACTTATTAGCTTTCTAAATACAGTTTTTGAAGATTCCATAAGATTTCCTGTATACAAAATTATGTCATATACAACTAGAGATATCTTCACTTTTTCCTTTATGATCTGGATACCTTTCATTTCCTGTGATTACATTAGGATAAATATTTTTGGCAGGCAAGCCACATAGGTGATGAATTGCTATTCTCAGTATGTCTCAATAGGATAAATTATGTCACTTTGTCACTTTTTTGTTGACATTCAATTTGATCACTTGGTTATGGCAGTGTCCCTCAGATATATTCATTATAATTAAAAACTTTTCCCTTTTTCCCCTTTAAAAATAAGTAAACTATGGAGAGATTCTTGGACACAGTTTTTCTCATTCTTTCACATTTCTAGCTTTGAAAGTTTTACATATATACAATAGACAATAGTACATGCACATAATTTAATTAAAAAATATATTTATTTTGAGAGTACATGTTCAAAATAATTTTGTTAATTGGGTATACAAGCAAAGATGTTTAGAAACCAGTATTCTAGAAGTTCAGCCCCTCTCTTCTCCATTCCTTTTAATCATGTGTTGTTTACTTTCATCCTGGACCTCAGAACCTTGGCTGTTTACTGGAAACTTTCCAGGTCCCCTGGGCTCTTTGAGTTTGGGGATGCTACAGATTCCCCTCCAGATTTTGTGAACATCAGTCCTCTGCTTGCATTGCTTGACATTTTCCTGCCCGTTAGTTTTTAAAATCTCCCATTACCTTGTTCAGCTTCCAACCTGTTCCCACCCCATTCATTCCTCCCATCCCCACAACTGTGTACAAACAGACACATAGGTGCACAGTGTATTCGGTAGGGTCCCCCGACCGACAGAACCAAGAGGATATGCATATAGATATATGAGAGGGGATTTATTAAGGGAATAGCCTCACAAAGTTATGGAGGTTGGGAGGTCCCACAATAGACCATCCACAAGCTGAAGATGCTGGGATGCCAGTGATGTGTCTCAGCCTAAGTCAGACTCTCAGAACCAGGGAACTGAACTGTGTAACTCTTAGTCTGAAAGTGAAGGCCTAAGGACCTAGGGATCTGCTGGTGCACGTCCTGGAGTCCAGACGCCAGAAGCCTCGAGTTCTGATGTCCAAGAAAGAGGAGGCAGAGTGTGTCCCAGCTCCAGGACACCGGAGGACACATTTGCCTTTCCTCTGTTTTTGTACCCTGCCCCCATACCGTTTGGTTAGGGCCCATCCACATAGTAGACCTTTCCCAACTAGTCTATTCATTCACATGCTAATCTCCTCCGGAAACAACCTCACAGACATACCCCAAAATTTGCTTTACGAGCTTTCTAGGTGTTACTAAATCCAGTCAAGTTGACAACTAATTTAGCCATCACACAAAGCAAAGAGTCCTCCCTGTCCCCATTCCTTGGCTTCAGGAAAGAACTAGTTCTGACCCCTGGGTTGCTTCTTTCCTGAAAGAGAACTAAACGCACTGATCATATTTAAGCCTCTAGAGCCTTTTGTGAAGTTCAAGAAGAAAATTATCTGGATCAATAATGCATTTTTGTATAATTATATTTTATGCAAATATAAAACTAGTCACATTCTTTTCTGGTCATTCATTTTGGAACAAACTGATACACACAGTAATTGTCCTGAGGTTAATTTAAGGGCTGCTCATGCTTTTCAAACGAATGTTTGGTAAATTTATCTCAGCATGATAATGAATGCTACAGTTCAGAAAACACAATTTAACACAGAACTAAGGTATAAGCTCCTGGGACACTCTAATGCTCTAATGCTTCCAGAAAAAAGAAAGAAAATCCATCCATTCATTTACTCACTCAAGATTTATTGAGGCCCTTTTAAGTGCCAGACACTGTAGCAGGCAAAAGGGTACAAACATGAAAGACACTCCTTGGTTTTTCTGAGACACGAGTAGACAGATTAGAAATTAATAGATGTGGTGATATACACAGATAGCATGGCATGTCAGTATAGGGAAGGAGACCCTTGTACCACCTGCAGAGAGCAAGCATCCTGGACATAAGTGCATGTGATTAAGATATCCTAGAGATGCATTTTAAACTTGGACATAGGTGATGTATAGGACATGGAACTGGAATGGATGTGAGTGAGGAGGAAACAGCATGTTCAAGCCCAGGGGTCTTTCACTTTGTATTTTTAGAATCTTACAATGAAACTGCTTTGGGTAATAATTCTTATTAGAATAATATTCTAATGAAGCCATCTTTGAGAATTGTTTTACTCATTTTTAAAATTTTGAGTAGATGCTATCTACTGTAAGAATCTGCTTCATTGCTCCTATACCTTTGTTAAAATGAGAAGAGTTGTAAAACTTGACCTAGCGGCGGTATGTATATATTATAATTTCATCCATGTTTTCTGTTCATCAGCATGATGTTCAGTTAGGGTGATGTTCTGGGTAGTGTCTTCTTTCCTGTGTTTTCATCAAAGTTGAAAGTTAATTTCAAATAGTTTAGGAATAAAGTAGGGGAGGAAGTCATGGGAATGAATGCAAGAGGAAGAGTGAGGAATATTAGAGGCAGCTTTTGGTCCAAGCCTCAAAGTTTACTTTTATTCCAAAGGAAGTAGACCCATTGAGGAGGCACTACATGTTGGTCCCTTAGTAAAACACTGTTGAGGAATGTCCTGGACTCAGAAGCATTAATAGAACTACTATTATTTCTGTTTTATTGCATACCTGTGCTAGACATTCTTAAAAGTTCCAAAGAAATAAAAGGCAAAGCACACAAATTTCGAGTATTTTAAAAAATGCTTACACATATACATTAAGGAGAAAATGAAAAATGTAGGGCTGGGCAGTTTCCCTGTTAGTTTCCAACAGCTGCATTATTAGAATCCTGACATTCGAAGCCTCGAAAATGAGTATCGAGCATCATTAACTGTCACAGGAAGGTGAGGGTGTGGGCTTGGGTGAGATAATTCGTAAGTCAGGTCACATTCTTCTATAGTCTTTGAGATTTGCTCTTTCGAGCAAACTGATTCAATTTTTGCTCATATTCCTTATTTTCCAGTTTGAAGTAACTTTGTGCATTATCAAATCAATAACTTAATTATTAAATTTAGTTAATTAGTAATTTAATTGTTAAATTACTTAAAATGCACACGCAATGCTTTTTCTTATAAAGTACCATATTGACAACTGTAGTTGACACATTCTGATGACTTGCTTAAAATAAACATCTATGTGGGTGTGAGCAGTGAGTGGAACATCTTTGAGTTGGTTGAATATGAATGTGATCCAATGCACAGGAACATCAGCCAATGACACTCATTTGCAGAAACCCAAGTTGTGATACCAAAATAGCAGTAAAATAATATTGTGATTAATTTGTTTTAGCTAGTGCATGACTTATTTAAAAATTTTGTTCTGGATATATATCTGAAAATGTTTATTCTCAGGAAAATTATGTCCACAAATATATCTCCTTTTTAAAAAATACTATGTATACACACACACAGACACACACACACACATAGCATATATAATACATATACATTATAGTGTCTGTGCATATATATCTACATGCATACACATTGTATATATGTGCTTACTTACATATATTTACATATACACAATATATATGTACATCCATGTGTATTTTGTGCAAAGGCTTTTGTGCAAATGAAGCAGGAGCTCAAGAATAAAGGCCATGGTTGCACACTTCAGCCTTGGGACAGAAGACTGCCTTTTGTTAGGGAGTAGATTATTGAGGTCTTGTTCAAGCTTAGTGGTTTTTCACTTTGCATTCTTAGGCCCTTACAATAAAACTGCTTTGCATAATAATTTTTTTTTTTTGAGGCGGAGTCTCGCTCTGTCGCCCAGGCTGGAGTGCAGTGGCGCCGTCTCGGCTCACTGCAAGCTCCGCCTCCCGGGTTCACGCCGTTCTCCTGCCTCAGCCTCCCGAGTAGCTGGGACTACAGGCGCCCGCCACCACTACTGCTTCATTTTCTGTATTTTTAGTAGAGACGGGGTTTCACCGTGTTAGCCAGGATGGTGTCGATCTCCTGACCTCGTGATCCACCAGCCTAGGCCTCCCAAAGTGCTGGGATTACAGGCCTGAGCCACCGTGCACGGCCTGCATAATAATTCTTATTAAAATAATCCTAATGAAGCCATCCTTGAGAATTGTTTTACTCATGTTTTTATTTTGAGCTCTAGATGCCGTCTCCCATGAGAATCGGCTTCAACCCACTATCCCTTTGTTGTAATGTAAAGAGTTACAAAACTTGGCCTAGCAGCTATACGCTTATGGTATAATTTCATCCATATTTTCTGTTCCTCAGTGTGATGTTCGGTCAGGGTGAAGTCCTGGGTAACTTCTTCCCTATGTTTTCATCAGTTTAAAACATCTCAACAACATGCTTTTATTTCTTAAAGAATATATCATTTTAATAGTTTTTCAAATTGTGAAATTGTCACTTTTAAAATGTTATATTTTCCCTTCTCCCAGTTTTATCTTCCAAAATTCTATTTTTTTTAAAGCTGATCTTAAATAAGTCATTTTGCTTCATACTAATAGGAAACCTCAAACCATCTTGTTTCTACATCTCAGATTATTGCATTTTCTTTTCTTTTTTTTTTTTTTTACTTTGGTTTTTGCTTTAACTTTTACGTACAGAATAACCTCAGTGGCCCTGGAGGCTACTCTTCCTGGACAGAGAAATGCCTAGTTAATGGAAGAGGCATGTGTTCCCATAAGAAAATGAGGCAATATTCCCCATTTTGACTCTTCACCTGATAGGTAAATGATGATTACAAAGCATCCATTGACACCGTAATTATTTACAAACCCCAGAACTTAGTAATGGATAATGGATCCAAATATAGCCAGTAATGTTTTCCATCTCACACCAGGAGGCACGGGAATGTTTCCCTCACTTTAGTTATGCATTCAGTTTACCACAGGTTATGGATGGATTGACACTTCCATTGAATTTATTGTCTGCTGACTTTGGAGGGTTGCAGATTAAGGATGTTTACCGTTGCGCTTACCTCCACTTGTCATATTTAAAGTCTAGTCATAGTTTGTGTCTTTGGTTGTGCATGTACCTTATTCTGGACACTCTTCTCAGAACTTTATATGTATCATCCATGCTTACAACACCTTATGAGCCAGATCATGATTTTGTCAGACATTTTATTTTCAATTTTTTTGTTTTCTTCAGGGTTAAATAATTGTCCATTAACAGAACTTGGTAATTCCACAGCAAGGATTCAGTCTCGCTCAGTCTATAGAATAAAGTATTTGAAAGTGATGAATACAGCAAAACTAATCTTGGTAAACTCCATTAAGTATATTGTAGTTCCTGGAACAGAGTCGAAGTTCAGTGAGTGGCCGGTTGTGGTGGTTCATGGCTGTAATCCCAGCATTTTGGGAGGCAAAGGCAGGTGGATCACCTGAGGTCAGTTTGAGACCAGCCTGACCAGCATGGTGAAACCCCATCTCTACTAAAAATACAAAAAATAATTAGCTGGGTGTGGTGGCACACACCTGTAATCCCAGCTACTCGGGAGGCTGAGGCAGGAGAATCGCTTGAACCTGGGAGGCGGGGTTTGCAGTGTGCTGAGATCATGCTATTGCACTCCAGCCTGGACAACAAGAGCCAAATTCTGTCTAAAAAAAAAAAGTTGAATTTATTTGAATAACGACTAAGTCATGAACATGTCATTTTAGATACTGAAATACAATTCCTTTCTGTCTAGTAGCATATTTAAAGCCCTATTTTTTCTATTTGAGACTAGCAAGAGAATATTATATCTTAATGTAGCATTTGTTATATCACCTACTAAAAATTGGAAATGCATGTTTGCTGACTAGACTAAAATTCTAGAGGGCCTGGACCATGTTATTTTTCCTTGCATATTCAGTGCCATTATAATAGGCACACTTCTCCTTTAGTTCACATTTCACTTAAGCAAACTAGGTAATATTTGATTAGAATATAAATCTGCATTGTGTGCACCACATTTGTTAATTCCTCTTGGGAGCTACAGGAAATCTAGAAATAGCTTCCTTGACTATGACTGTTGCTCTACTTAAATGGTTTCAAGTCTCCTTATTATAACAGTAGGTTATATTATATATCTCCCTTTAGGAGATGAGAATGTCTGAAAAAGATTTTCTCTTTTGATAAGCATAACTGGTTTTAGAAAAAGAAGTTATTATTCTTGATTTTTAAAAAACTACATGTCAAATATTGTTTTTTCAATATTTAATTATTAAAGCAATAGTCTCATAGCTGTAGAGACACTTTTATTATATCTATTTATTTTTAAATATGGCTATAGAAAGTCTAAAAAGTCTTACTGAATTAGCTGCTTGATAACTAGCAGTTTCGTTGGGATATGGCAGTCATGGACAGCAGAATAGGCCTTATCACAAGCAGCATCTGTGAAAAATGAATGCAATGTTGAATGCATAGTAAATTTGAGGTCTAAGAATTTTGCTGGGCTGTCCAATGACTTTTTGAATGACGATGTAAACCATGATCAGTATTTCTCTGACATGTGCAGTGACTTCCGTATATAGATACCACATTTTTCTGTGTGTTCACTTGTAATTCATCAGGAGCTTTTATATACCTAAGGGAAATTTTATTGAAAAACAGATACATTTAGCCAATATTAAAATATAAATTGTTACTGGAAATTGAAAGTCTTTTTTTTTTTTTATCTTACAGAATCCTACAGAATAGCCCAATTTCTTTCTGCAAGAAAAAGCCTATTCCTGCCACTCTCCTACCTAAGAAGAGTTTGGGTGTCTGAGCTGGGCTTGGTGGCAGAATCCCAGATGCTTCACCTGGGCCAAACACAGCACAAGGAGGCAAGGCTTAGAAGGAATGCAGCCCCAAGCATTGAAGAGACCTTCCCAAAGACACATGGATATGAAGCACTTATGAAAAGAGGACTGAGATGGAACTGCAGGGCAGGCTTTCTCAGCCTGGGCACTATTCACATTTAAGCTAAATCATTATCTGTTGGGGAAGCTGACCTGGGCGTTGTAGGATATTTAACAGCATTCATCTTTTGTCTGTCTGTATTAAATTTCAGTAGCACCTGTCTCCCAAGTTGTGACAACCCAAAAAAGTGTTCAGATGTTATCACATACCCCCTGGGAAACAAAATTAGCCCCCTCCCCACCCTGAGAAAGCCTGCTCTAGGGGATGGCAACTTGAGAGATCAGCCGAAAGGGGCTCTGGGGCGTAGAGTGTGGAGGTATTCCCTGAGCTAATAAAGTGAAACCTCACTGGATTTTTTTTTTTTATTGTGTTTCAGATCTCGGTGATGAAGGGAAGACAGCTCTTAAATAACCAATGGCATACCAGGAATATGCTTGTTGCTTCCTATGTTAATGAAAATTGCAAAATGTTAATGTGCAAAATTGAGAGGATATGTTCCGTACATTACAGATGTAATAAAATATGAATAGGTAACAGCTACTGTGTACGATGAACCTATGAATGTAGCCTGTTCCTCAAACTTACTTGATCACACTTAAAAAAATAAACTATAATGATATAAGGCAATTGTTCACTTATTTTTATACTTTCTCTTGGAATGACACTTCATGAAACAATTCCACACCCACTCATTTATTTTATGCTTATAGAAGAAATGTTATGTCATTAAGAAAGTATTAATGTTATTAATTCTTGGTATACAGATGAAAAAACTGAGTTTGAAAGGAAGAGCATTAGTGTGGAGCTCAGTATCTATATCAAGTCTTTCTGATTCTATGTCCATGGCTCTTCCAAGGCCACACAGATTCTGGGCAGAGTGCTAATCAATATTTAGCTATTTAGCTCATAATTTTTGTTTGCCTTTGTTCCGGTGGTGTCTTCACATGCCATATAAACACTTTAAGTGCCAGAAAGCTATCAAGTCAATGAAGATTTAATATAGACACATTACTATTATTATCATTGTTATTAATGTCCTATTGGTAAACTTCTTGAGGTGTGCATGTAGACACACACACACACACACACACACACACAATGGTTTTGAATAAATAAAATAAATGTTTATAGAATTGGAAAGGCTGGGGATGTACACCTGTATTTTTAATTTACAAAGAAGGAGCTGTTCCAAGGAAAACTGATTTCTCCACTTCATGGTCTTTCCCACATTTCTTTTCTCCTCCTGAAAAAATAAATGTTGGCTCTCACCGAATTAGTTTTAATATATTTACAATATGTGTGAGCTCTGTGTATTTCGAGAGAAAATGTAAATCCCATCTGAAATCACATTTGGTTATAATTTGAAAGAGTATTTCCTATGCAACTAATAAACAAATAAACAAATCAGTTTGATCCACTGGGCAGATAATATTGAGAGAGAACGTGTTTTTCGAAACAAAAATTCATTTTTGCTATGGAAGTTCTTCTTGTGGAAGGAGAGCATGGAGAATTTCTGTGTCCTGTGTACAGCTCTGAGCGTCTTTCATGTAGCACGTTTGCCTGGCTGAGAGCTGAAAGAGGGTAGAGTGAATCTCAGTGGATCAATTAACAGAGGGACCTGTCCTTCAACAGCAGAAGATCTATTTCAGGATTTGCATATCACTGAAAAAAATTACAAAGCTGAGATAAATACAAGCCCGATAATAACTCACTGCAGACTTGGCTTCATTCCTAGATTTCCTTGGCTGTTTGTCCTAATAAAGTGTCTCCATGGCACTTAGGGCAGGAAGGTTATTAGTAGCTGTCAATCAAAGGAGGGAGTAGGCATCGGCAGGAGGAGGAAGAGAAGAGAGGTGACATTCATCCTCTCTTCTCACTGATATTGGGTATAAAAGTCATTCAGAGCAAGTGGTTAAAAAGGGACAGGTCCCTCTTCATCCCCAAGGAAAAAAGAAAAGCTGCCTTGGTTACCAACAATTTAATAACAAAACGAAATACATCAATCATCTTTTTTTCTACCTTATTGATGCCTGAACATCCATTAATGCTAAGGAAATGAAGGACATATGAAAGAGATCTTCTTAGGGGACTCTTGGCTTAATATTGTTTTTTTTTCTGTTTTCATGAACTGCATACATATCGAGGCTTAAAGTTAAAAAAGAAAATTTTCATCGTTATCAAACATCTCTGGGTTTTTTGGTGCATTTTTTTAATGTTGGAATTTTTCTTACAGCATATCAAGTGAATGCCTTGAGAAAAAGAAATCAGGTAGCAAAACTAAAACATATTTTTCAAGTTCATTTAAATCAGACACAGTGATTTTGACTTTACCAGGTTGATACTCAAAATCTATCTATTTAGCAATTAATTGATATTTTAAAGGTATTTAAATTATTGTACCATTTTCTTAATTAAAGTATATCTGCTGCTTGAGCACATCATCTCTCTATATGCATATTTTCATAAGTAACAGAGTCCATAGAGTGCTAATTGATATCCTGGTCTCCAGACAATACTTTACTAAATGAAATGACAATTATAACCAATTAAAATTCACTTTACATACTACTTCACCTATTTGGTATGTATTATGCATGAAGACAGAGAGTACATTGCCTCACTGCTCAGGATTTCTGTGTGTCTCAGAAATTGATGGACAGCTCCAAGATCTTCCTTTTAGTGCATTTTCCCCCTTAAACCAGGGGTCACATGGTTTAAGGTTCCCCCTTAAACCAGGGGTCACAGGCTTATCAGAAACCCTGTATTTTGGTGTTACTTAGATTAAATAGCTAATAAAAGCTGTTATTTATTGCAGATTGAGGCTTTTTTCATATTTGCCTAACCTACATCAAGAGCACTTCTCTGCAGAACTACTCTTGTGAAGAGTTTTTTTTTAAATAGATATGCTACTTTCTAATTACATAGCCTATTCTTCAGCTTCTGGCTGCAAGATATTCTACATAAATACTATTCATATCTACACTTCATCATAACAGTTACATATTAACCTGTTGCTCTATACATGACTAAACTTGGAATTTTCTGACTTCCATTATTTTGCCAAAGCCCAGTCGACCTTGAACTAATATCAAAAGGCATATGCCATGTAGAAAGAACACCAGTATAACATTTGCCTGTTTTTTGAATAAAAGCATTCTCCATTTCCTGTCATTTCACCTTTTAAAATTTTCAAAACAGAAATATTCTGGAAATAAAAGAATACAAAGAAAAAAGAAAGGCAGGAATATAAACAGGAATTCTGTGACAAAAATAATCCTGTATCCTAAAATGAAGAGTGGATTTCTAGTTTCTGGATAAATATTTCATTTGGATAAGTGACCATTTCTATCGGGGAATGTGCATTTGTCTATGCCTCGGTCCCATTCAGTTATTATCTGTCGTATTGTGAATAGATGCTCCCTTCTCATAGGAGGATAGAATCCTGTGAGAATTTTCAGCTAAAATACTTTTTCACTATTAGGATGTGATAAGAAATGTGGAGTCATGCTGTCAGTAATGGTGCCTTACATTTTTCATTCTCACCATGAGCCCCAAATCAAAATCCTTTCATAAACTTCATATTTAATCACTTATTTGCATGGCTCTTGCATTTAGTAGACTAATTTCTGAGCAACAAGTGGTGCCACCAATTTTTAAGAAACCCTAGGCTTGTAAGGGTTGGAGCTGTGAACTGTTTACATGTGAGTTATTTTGCAAAAGTGTAAGTAATGGAAACGTCAATAGAGTTTGCAGGTTACTTTTAGAAACATTTCCTTGATTTCGAAAGTTTAACTACATCCCCACAATTATGTTTGCATTTGTTTGTTTTTCATTCTTAATGAAAGGTCAGATGAATTATCCAAGAAATAAGCACTGAAAACTGACATTCGTTTGTAAATCATTTCCCTTTGAAAATACATCTGTGTCAGTAAAATATCTACTTTTAGTAATAATCTTCCGCCTGTCTTAAATTATATTTTAGTAAGACTTAAGATTAAAACATCATTTTCATTTGCAACACTTTCATTCTAGAAAGTTTGATTCTAATAATTATTAAACAAGCTGCCAACACCAGATACAATAGAAAAATTACTTATAAATAACATTTTCCAAATTTTTTTAGTTCAAGCATAAAATGTTGAAAAATTGTATATATATTTATAACTGAATATAGTACTGTATAAATAAGATTTTATATTTGTAAGATTCCATTTTTACAATACATTTTTCTTCTCTCCCTTCCCTATTTACCTCTTTTCTTTGCTCCTTCCTTCTGAACCATCCCTTTTACAGTCTGGCAGATGGAATGTAACAAATTATCTATTAAAAGTATTCCTTGTTGAAATTCTTTTGTTTTATTAATTTTGATTAAACATCCCTATGTAGTATGAATCATATTAATTACTAAATCCTGTTTACTGAAATTACTGTCTTTTCTTACAATAATAAATTTATGACATTTTTTCTTAAATCGTGTTTGTATTTTTTTACATTTTGATACCTAAAGTATCACTGAACATTCCTCGGGTGCAAAAATATTTGCATAATTTTTTTATAGTTATGACTATAGATTTTTCATTAAGTTTTTGTTTTGTTTGGTGAGGTTTTTTTGTTTTGTTTTTTATTTTATATTTTTTTAGAAAAGTTGTTTTACACAGTAAATGAAGTGCCAATGCAGACAAATGTAACCAACATGAAGCTGGCCAATAGAATTCAACAAACTGCTAAGGTCATTAATATAATTTGTTTTGGCACTGCTACGTTTCCTAGTGCTACTCTGAGTAGTTTGCTGGGCGCATCAATTTGTTTTCAGCTATTGTGAAATCGGATATCTTGGCTTTCATCCAAAACACCCTCTCCATTTGCATATCTTTGTTATCATTTCAGGTTCTCAGAACATACTGTGGACTATCACACCATCTGCACCAAGATCCTCACATCCAAACACAAATTAAAAATGAAACTGTAAAATTTGCAAGGAAACAATACAGACCTTTTATCTCATTCTCCCTCTGTTCATTTTCAAAAGAGAAACTTGCTTGTAGCCAAGCATAGCAAAAAAGGCTTTTATTAATTGGACTGGCATCAAGCATGCATACATAAAATTGTTTATTTTTTCCCTATAAAGGGGTTGCCTGACATAAAAGGGTCTTTGAAGATGACATTCAGATTTTGACATTTGCATGATATTGTATAAATATCAGAGGTAGGAGACTTTTCTGACAAACCAGATGGGTCAAAAAAAAAAAAAAAGAAAAGAAAAGAAAGAAAGAAAAAAAAGGCACTACTGTAGATATATATTAGTCCTTTACTTAAAAAATATTAACTTATCCTCTAAGCTAGGAATTATTAGGCAGGAAAAACAAACATATTTGGTACAAACCAAAGCTTTTATTTTCGTTTTAAGAGAATTCTGATCTTGGGAAACTGCGAAGTTTATTTTAGAGATATATTCTATATTTTGATTAAGAGCACATAATCTATTGAATCTTGGCCTTGCAAGTGTTATAGTAATTAAGTTTTATTGTTCAACTCCTTGCTGTTGGATGGTCTTGATTTTGATTGTAGGTTGGGCTTTGGAATGTTTTTGAAGGATGGAAGGGCATTCTGGGTCCCTGTATTCATCAACATCTGGATTATGCAGGCATAGCTGTTTTACTTCCCTTTGTGATTTCTGAATGCAGATGGAGTCTGCTTATAATTTCTCACAATGATAAGAGTGTCCCTCCCAACCTCCATCAGTAGATCCGTACATTAAAAAAAGAAGAAGAAATAAAAAAGAAAGCCACCTGGATGGCACTTAGGGGCAAAGGCAGGAGAGAAGAGCAGACAGATGACGAGGGGATTTGCTGATGGTGTACTTCCATACAGATTTCAAATGCCGGCAAAGGGAATCTCCTCCATCTGAGTGCATAATAGAATAGCACAAATTTGATTAGACTCCTTGACCCTTAGTTATCAAGCAAGAATCAGACACAGTCAGCAAGTTGTGCACAAAATTCAGTTTATGTATTTGGCCTTCAGCATAGACTGGTCATTCTTCAGGTCCCTACAGCCTGATCCATTAATTTCTAATGCCTTTACTCTCTTAATCATCTCAGTATTCATTACGGACCCCCTGGAGACACGTCTGTATTTTGTTTTTGTAAGCCTTGCCTTTAGTAATAACATGTTCTCCTATTTTCCAGAGGAGTCCAAAATGGAAAGGAAAACACACATCTTTTGGAAATAATGGTCGGATGTGGCACAATCTGAAGGTCGAGGCAAGTCATAGATGAGAAGTGTCCGGATAAACAGGAGAGTCTTGCACATACGAACAACTCACCCGTTGTTTGGGAGCTCTCATTTCAATCATTTTAAATCTTTTGTTGCATCATTGGCAAGTTATTTCTCTTACTCGAAAGCCCTCCCCTCTGCATTCATGACATAAAACTACACTAGTTTTCTACTCTTTCCTTTCTCCTTTGTGGCTGATTAGATTATCTAGATTTCACTTGCTCACTACCTTCAAGAACATGCTCCCTTTTTCCTTTTCGGATTCTCCATGTCTCCTTGTTCATCATTCCTCGTCCCCAGATTCTCCTCTTTATGCTTTTTTTTTTTTTGGTTTTAAATAAAACTAGTAAGAAATGAGCATGCTAAATGAAATCACACAGACAGTAGAGTCCGGTGATACATTTCTAATTAGAACAAGTCTCGCCTCGCATCACCTGGTCAAGTCTCCTTGCTGTGGGGAGGGTGTGAACTTCAGGGCACTACCTGGAACTGGAACCCCAGTACACTACGTGGAACCTGCTTAGGGGGTGCTGGGGAGCAGTTTTTCCTTCGATGTCTGGCTGGGACAAAGAAAGGGTATTGCCAAGAAGCTTTTCTGTTGTTAGGCCACCCTCCTTCCTATCCTTCAGCTAGGGACAACAGGCTTTTCTCGGACTATTTTTTGTCTATGTTTGTTGGCAGTTCTGGTTGGTGACTTCTACAAATTCTGGTCCAGGATATGTGGGAGTGAGAAAAGAAACCCAGAAATTTGTTGTACTTTGTTCCTCAAATCTCAGGGTTCCTAGGCAGTCTGCTTTTCTCTTTCCACCTTTCAGTCTTCTTGTGTGATTTGGCACCCCATGTCCAGCATCTTACAGTTCTAAGTGAGAGGACAGAAAGAAATGAACTACTCCATTTTGGGGTAACTTGCTATCCATTTTGTCACCTTTGGTTGTTTTCCTCGCTATGGTCAGATTACTGTATTGTGTTAGTTGTATTTTTGTCAATGAACATGAACTAATTACTCCAAAAAACTGTGCTGGGTATCTGTCACTTAGTTAAATTGGCAATTCTGCATCTTACTTGCGGAATTAAACTCTAAAATCTTCTTTGTCTTTTCTATTATACTTCTTTCTTCTCTGTTTTTACCTTTTCCTTCCTCCTCCAGCCTTTAGTGCTTCTTGCTTCCAGTACTATTTTCACTATCACCTATCATGAATCTATATTTTCATCAAAAATCTCAACTTCTTATTTTTTCTCAAACTTAAAATTAAACAATGTCTCCTTAGTCTACAACTGATGCAAATGAAGCTTATCGACATTACGGTCACACAATACTCCAAGTTGTGGAAGCAACTAATAATGTTCTTTTTATTGGTATTGTGAGCATCCAACTTCTAGACAATTAGAGGAAGGATCGCATGTAATGAATTTCTATTGTGTTCCAGGAATGGTAGTTGGTGTGCTTTTTTTTTTTTTTCCCCTCTTCCAACTTAGAGGGCTCCTTCAATTAGTAAGAAATTTTTACCTCTACTATTGACTGCTATAAAAAATAGAAGTTAATTTTTGTCTCCTAGCTGTACTTAATCAGCATGGTCAAATATATTGAAGACTCCTTAAGCTTTACAATTTATGTTTCTTGCGGTTTAAGATCTATATACTTTAGAAAATACTACAGAAAAATATATGTGGCTTAGTTCATAGCATTTGAAAACAACTATTCGAAAGTGAGATGCTGTAAATCAATAGCTGATTTTATTTGGTTTGCAACACATTAAAGTAAAGGTATGAGCTTTTTTAATTCAGCAAGATTTATGGTTTTAGTATAGTATATAAATAGATAGTGACCATTTGTCTTTGCCTTTTCAGGTCTGTCTACTTAGAAACTAAAAATATAAATAAATTAGAATAAAATAAACTCACTATTAAACAACTCTTAGATCAAAGGGGAAATGTAAATTAAAACAGAAGATCAATTAGAAAGCAATGACAATAAAAACATTTCAAATCAGAGTCCATGAAACACAAGTCATAGAGCACTCAGAAAAAAATCAGAGCATTAAATATCTATAATAATACAATGATAATACATGGAATAAGCTTACAACTCAAAAATTTAGGAAAAACATAAATAAACCAAAGGAAAGCAGCAAGAAGTAAAAGAAAAGTAATTATTGAGAAATTATTGAAAACATAGGAACAGGAATCAATAAAAGCAAATGTTGGTTCTTTGAAAGATCAATGAATCAACCAAACCACTAGCCACCTTAATCCACACAGAGAAAGAAAGCACAATTACACAACATTTAAAAATGTCAAAGAGAAAACAATATTTTAAACAAATGAAATTCTCAAAAGAATTATAAAAGAAATTTTTTTAAAAAAAATATATTCAAATTCATTTGAAAACCTAAATTAAAAAAAATACTAAAAAAATATAAATTACCAAAACAACCCCAGTAGAAATAGTAAGTCCATTCCGATTAATATCCATGAAGGAAGAAAAATTTAAACAGCAAAAAACATATGATAATTCCAGAAAACTTTATGAGAAAATTTCACCAAACCTGTGAAGACTATTTAATATATTTCAGAAGATAGAAAATAAAGGAAAATATATATTTTTAAAAAATGAATCAAATAAAACAGACTATAGAGGATACATAGACTGATAAAAAGCACACAGCACCAAGAGTGCAGAACAATCTCACTTATTAATAGTAATAAAACATTTTGCATGTCCCTTCCCCAAAAGGCAAAGTTAAATGATAAAATATGGTATATAAAATGATTGATATCCATAATATTTTAAAATGTTATTAAAAATTGATAAGAAAAAGACTGATAACCTGCCATGAAAATAGTAAAAGAAACCCTTTTAAAATAGTAAAAGGTATGAGAAGACGGCTCAAAGAAAAATTAATACAAATGACTCTTGAACTCTGAATGCACACTCAACTTCACTCCTAATAAAAGAAACATAGCTACACTGACATGGAAAAGTTTGATAATCTATTCTGATGATGAAGTGTAAGGGAACGTCTGTGTTCTCCACTTTACTAGTGAAAACGCAAAATTGTACAGTTCATATGAAGGAGAATTTGACATCCAACAACATTACATATAGTCTTTGCTTCAGAAATCCTGCTTTAATTCAGCAATACTGATTCTAGGAATCAATCCCCAAAATACATCTGCAAAAATAAAATGGAATGAATGTATAATTTTATTAAATACGACATTATTTTTATCAACAAAAGATTATAAATTCAAATGTCTGTCTACACGGGCGAGTACTATGGACATTTGAAAAATGAGGAAAGAGATTTCCATACACTGAATGGAATTATTTGCAGGATATATTCCAAAGTAAAATAAAAGCAGAAAATAGAAAAATGTATGTAGTATGTCACCTTTGTCACATAAGTGTAATAAAAGAAAGAAAAGCGTATATACCAATGTAGGTATAATAAACACTAAACAAAAATATTGTTACATATTTATAAAATAATGACATATTTTAGCCCAACAAATGTTAGATAACCAGACATCATATAGCTACTGATGTGATGTAGTGTGTCATACATGGCACCAACAGCCAAGTCTTCTCCTCAACCAGAACATATTTTAACTTGAATCTAATAAAGCCTTCGAATCTATCTTTTAATCTACTGGTATCTTTAAGATACAGGAGCAAGTTGAAGGTTGCCATGAGGCAGCACTTAACCCAATAGAGGACATGAGGTATTTCTGTGGGATAATTGATCCCATTTCCTCAACAAGTCAATGACATAAATATAAATTAATAATATTAAGAAAGAGGATAATAGCCTAATTAACAGTACCTTAAGACATATAACAACACAAATGATGCCACTAGAAAAAGACCAGAAGTTATTTGAGAATGATTTTTCAGTGTTATTAGCATAGAAAATATTGTTTGTTTGTTTGTTTGTTTTTAGAGACAGGATCTCACTCTGTCACCTAGCCTGGAGTGCAGTGGGGTGATCATAACTCACTGCAGCTTTGAACTCCTGGACTCAAGGGATCTTCCCACCTCAGCCTCCCAAAGTGCTGGTACTATAAGCATGAGGCACTATGCCCAATCTGTTTGTTTGTTTGTTTGTTTGTTTGTTTGTTTGTTTTGAGATACATACTGATGTTCTTGGTTGGGATGGTTGAAATGGTATAATACCTAGAATTTCCTTTGTAATACTCTAGAGAAGTCAAGGGTGAGGGGGAGAAAGAGAAAACTGTACAAAAGTGAAGCAAAAGACAAACATTGCACAAATTTTTATGATTGCTAAGCTTGATTATGGGTAAATTGTGATTCTTCATATTTTCTATATTTGTTTACATGCATAGATTTTCATATAAATGAAAGAAAAATAGAAGGGAAAGATTGTAGGAGACATTTTAGAAACTATATTAATCATGCTACAAAACAACAAAACATAAAATAGCAATGGCATACAAAAAAATAAGTTATGCAGATCTAGAGTGAGCTGGGACAGCCCTGCTCCAGAAGTTTTCCTGAGGCCAGAGCTGAAGTGACAGCAATTAATTTGGACATATTCTTCCTCCTAATGGAAGGCCAAAAGAAGCCCCCGGAAAAGCAAGAAGAAACACACAATGCCTCCTTGGCCTCCACTCAAAATTGACACTATCACTTCCTCCGTATTCTATTGGCCAAAGCAAGATACATTTCAAAGTCCAAACAATATCAATAAAGCAGGAACATTCACTCTTCTCTGGGAAATTCGAGCTAAAATGGGGGCCTGGGGGAAGAAGGAGGAAGGGAAAACTTACCGAGAAACCATGGATCACAGAAAACAAGATTTAGAGTTTGATTTGGTCATGCCTTTTAGTTCAAGTGAAGACGAAATGTAGACAGTGGATATAGGATCCTGGTTTTCAAGAAAGAGTTTGGGATGAAGATGCAATTTTTAATATTAATTTACCATTGCTTTCACTAAGTTGCTGTGGTATTTTGGTATTAAATACTGAGAAAGCATACTGACAAGACTAATCATGGATATTTTCCAAATCTTGATTAGAAATGTGTAAAGAGGTTTATATAAAATAGTAGAATTCAGATAAAATACAAATAGTTTTATGAATAACTTTTCAAGGTTAATTGATTCTGCTAGATGGTTTTAATCCTAGTTTAATATCGGATTTTCTGAAATAACAAAATGGGAATCAGCAAAATATTAAGGAATCACAGATTCAGAAGGACGAAAGATTTGAACTGGTCCTAACTCCTTCCTCCAGGAATTCCTTTGACAACATCTGTGCAGAAGGTCATCCAGATATTACTTGTCCACTTTCAATGAAGAAAACTGCATTATTTACAGCATGCCTCATTTAATCTTTAGATGATTTTTAGTGCTATTTACTAGCATTGTGATTCCACTAAGCTTCAGTTTCTTCAGTTGGAAATGGTAATGATACCTCTTGCATTCCATCCTTCTATGTGCAATGAGAACAATTGTTCTTCTCCAGGCACATTGAATCTTGCCAATATCCCATGACACCTTAAACATTACTGATTGTAGCTGAACACAGTGGCACACACTTGTACTCCCAGCTGCTAGGAATGGGAGACTGAGGTAGGAGGATGGCTTGAGCCTGGGAGGCAGAGGTGTAGTGAGTCAAGATCATGCCACTGCACTCCTGTCTGGGTGACAGAGCGAGAACCTGACTCAAAAAAAAAAAAAAAAAAAAGACTGATTGTGTTTTCCAAATCTGCATTTTGAGAAACTGCTTTCTGGGAATAAGGGAGTTATTCTTAAGCTTGGCTATTCATTAAAATCACCTTGAAAAAATATGAAGTCTGGCCCCAACCCCAGAGAATCTGATATATGTTGATGGTATGTTCTAGGTATTAGAATTGTTAAAAGTTCCTCAGGTGATTCTAAAGAACAATCAGAGGTGACTATTCTGAGGATGGGATTTGTTTAAAGCAGATAATTGTTCTTTGATTCATCACCTCTTTCTTGGGCTGAAATTTTCTATTAACTTTAAGTTAGTATAGTCATTTGCATGCAGCAGTAAGCCCTCAAGCCACATTCAGAGAAAAGGGTTTATTCAAAAGTTTTAAATGGTAATATAAAAAGAATTTTGTGGAAATTCAAGAAGAGGTAAAATAATATCACTGGTCGTCATAAATACAAGATCTGAAGTTTCCTTTTGTAGGTAGAGTCACTAAATCAATACAGCTATACTCTAGTTCATGGGTTCCTAAAATTTAGCATGAGTCAGAATCATCTTGGGGTCCTGTCAGACAGTTTTCTAAGCCCAAACCTCAGGATTTGTGATTCAGTAGACTCAGGGTTGAGCCCAAGACTTTTCATTTTCAATAATTTCCCAGTTGATGCTGATACTTCTCATTAGAGATCACACTTTGAGGACACTGTTCTAGTTGTTTACTCCTTTTGGACACCTATGAATTTGCTTCATCTGCTATTTACTAATTTTGCTCTCTCATCCCCTCTACTTACCTAATGCAATGGTTCTGAAACCTTCTTTCTTTAAGCATTCCAGATGATCCTGCTGCAGGATGGAGTTTTAGAACCACTGTTCTTGTGTTTGGCTTGCTGTAACATCCTACTTCACTGTTCTGTCTTAGATTTTCCCTCACTGATCACTGGTGGTGATTGAAATTCCTGAAAAGCAGCAGCTCATTGGCTCAATTCAACTTTTCACATCAGATCGTTGGGCATCCGGTCATGGGTCAGTTTTGCTTTGGCCAGATAATCAATCAGCCATGAACAGGTTCTCAAAGGGTGGCCCTGGCGCCAGCAGCAATAGCATCACCCAGGAACTTGATAAAAATGCAAATCATTGGACTGTACCCAAGACTTGACTCAGAAACTCAGGGGTGGAGCCCATCAATCCATCTACATTTTAACAAACCCTGTAGGTGAGATTGCTGTGCACTAAAGTTGACAATCCCTACTGCAAAAGAAGAATGTCACTTATGCTCAGCGACCTCATATAGTACTTTATCTCACCTCAAATAGCATAGGCCCAGCTGGTGGCAAGAGTCATCAAAATATTTTTAAAAATGTAAAATCTTGCCACTAATTTGCACTTCTTCAAACTCCAACTTTTATAAGCTCTAAGATATCCATTTCTAAAAGAGATTTTTTAAAAATTAGATCTGTCTTTGATATCATAGGCCTTATATTACCACATTTCTACACTGTCTATGGTTTCAACCACAGACAACCTGGTTTCAGTTTACAATTGTGGAATCCACAAGGACCATATTGGCAATAAAATACCCCACAACTTCCATGGCAGTGCACATCTGGTATGTAATTTTACATAAACAAACTCTACTTTGATGAAACTTAAACCTATGAAATTTAAACAAAATGGTGTTAGGGCTGAATCCCAAAAGAAAAAGAAAGGAATTTGGGTTTCTGTTTTTCCTTTTTGAAACCCAGGTGCACATTAAAGTTAGTGCCGGGACACACACTTGTGTAATTTGGCTCAAGTGCAGATTTTCCTGTCTAATGACATTAGACTGGCTACATCAAAATAACCACAGATCTCAAATAGAGCTGGGTAAACCCCATCCTTCCAACAGGGGAAAGAGGAAGGAACTTGCTTAGGTAGCCAGTAATGTGCTAAGTCGCACCATAACCTTCAACTTGATATCTAATAAAACATTGAAGGAAAGCACTGTTTTCTGCTTTGGACTGAATTACTAACTGAGCCACTCAATTCCGGAATCTGTTTTAGGCAGACTCCTATATCAGATGCTGTAGGGAACCAGAAGCCAAATTATTATTCTTCATCTTATCTTTATAAAATAATAGAAAATAAAAAATGGACATGACCATCCTTTCCTCCTTTAGTGTGTGATCTTCAATGATGTAATTAGATTACTAGGTTCTTTAAGATGTATTTTTTCTTGAAGCTGTTAGCCTCAAACATAAAATTTTCGAAAATCAGTAAAACATAAATATGATATTTATGTTCTTTGAGATTTATGTTTTTGTGACTGAAATCACAAACTAGTACATTTAGTCAACTAGAAGGAAGGTAACTAAAATCAGTAATCATTGTGCTTACACCTTTCCTCAATATGCCAGCTCAAACTCTGAAATTGGTAAAATCCCAGAACCCCCTTCTTCTCTAGTCTGCCATTGAACGTGGGATTCTCCAGGGTTTATGGTGATGCACTCCTCTCTGGATCCACGTTTTCTACTTCCTGAGTGATTTCACCTGTATGCTCATCTCTAACGTCCTGACTTCAAGGCTCTCTGCCCAATCCTGCATCACTTTTTTATCTGGATTTACCATAGACACCAGGCCTAGTATGTCTGAAATGGAACTCAATGTCTTTTTCTCTCTTCTCAGCACAAACCTGATACATATTCTGTGTTCTCAATGTGTATCTTAAGCAATAAATCCAACAATTATTCCTGTCTTCTTCTTCTCACTTATTTTCCATATTTCTAAAATCGGTGGTCACCTTTTCTTGATTCTACTTCAGAATTACCTTTCCAATCTGCCCTTCATATTCATTGTCTGTCATCTTACATCAAAACCATTTTCATGTCTTCATAGTTTTTCTGCTATGTACATTCCTATATTCCAACCCATTTTTCACTTGCACAGTTTCTTCATTAAGTTGTAAATATGTCCAGATTATCCCTCTTTTGAAGTTTTCCTTTGGAGTCATTATAATTTACAGAGTAGAACCTAGTAGCATTCTATGAAGCCCTTCAAAATATAGTACATACTTACCTCTTTACTTTCATCTCTAGATATTTAACTTATGCTGCAACCACTCGCACTACTTCCCTTTTCAGAATGTATCATGCCTCACCATGCTTCATCATGACTCATCATGTCTTTGTCATAGGTCATTATGCTTCATCATGCCTCACCATGCCTCATTATACTTCATCATTACTCATCATGTCTTTGTCATACCTCATCATGCCTTTGTTGTGCCTCATGCTTCATCATGCCGCACCATGACTCATCATGCCTCATCATGCCATCATGCCTCTGTATGCTGCTGACCGTACTGCTCCCTTTGGCTGCAAGGACCCTACCTTCTTTCTCTGTTGCATTACCCTTTTTATTCTTTCACTTTTAAATTGAGCTGTTAGCTCATTTAAAGGAACTCTCTTGAGTAACCTAGGGTAGGACTCATTTTTACTTATTCTAGCACTTTGCACACTATATTGTGAGGTTCCATGCCCTAGGATATTCTAGTGCTCATCTACTTTGGATTTCCCTTTCCTCTCAGGGGACATGGGAGGACTACACTGCTCTACCCCCTTGCAGTTATTTGGAACCGTATTACCAGATTTAGCCAAGGCGTGGTGAGCAGAAGTGAAAGGGGTCACTTCCAGAACATAAACACATTTAATTGCTCTTTTCCTCTGCTTCAGTGACAAAGGAGGCCTGGTATTACACATGGGGCAGCTATAACATAGTGTTTCTTCTGTTAATCTGAGCTCCTGTGTGACTCTATGGAACACAGCTTTTCTGCCAAACACAGGATGAGCAGGTAGCATGAGTGAATTAAATTTTTGTACTATGTTTTAGTTGTTATTGCTATGTAACAAAAGGCAGCCCAAGAGCTGAGATCATACCACTGCACTCCAGCCTGGGTGTCAGAGCAAGACTCTGTCTCCAAAATAAATAAATAAATAAAAGGCCACCCAAGATGTAGTAGCTTAAAAGAATAGCAATTGACAACTTCTCATGATTCAGCAGGTTTGCTAAGAAGTTCTACTAGTCTCACCTAGGCTCACTCTGGCTTCCGTTCTCTTCCATGGGCTCATTCCCTCTCCATATGGCCTCACTCCTTCAATTGGTCTCAGTCCATATGGTCTCCTTCCCTCATGTGTTCTCATGCTTCAGGGACTTTCTACAGAACTTTCTTAAAGCATGGTGGCTGTGTTCCAGGTCTCTGCAAAAGCAGAGACTGCCAGGTCTCTTAAGAATTAGGTCTAGAACCCGCATATGCTGTTGGCCAAAGCAGTCACAAGGACAGAGCAGATTCAAAGGGAGTTTTCATCCCTCCTGAGAAGTTTAACACAGGCACACAGGGAGAGGAGGCTTTGCTGCTGGCCATCTGTGGAGGCTACCTACCACATTGGGTTAAGTCCCTGAGAGTTGGAGGTTAATTGTCACTGCAGCAGACCCTAGGCTATCCTGGTTAAAACATTCTCTTTGTCTTAGGAACTAATTTGTAGGTCCTCCATGGTGAGGACAATCATAGAGCCCTATTTCTTGAAGTTATATCCACAGTTCCCAATATAAGGGTTGGATCATGATCAGCAATTCACTAAAAGCTTATTGAATAAATGAATGAAGGTTTTACTTAGACCAACAAGGAAAATAACAGCTTGAGGACAATAAATGACAGTGTAGAGGTCAAAACATAATGGCTGAGTAATGCAGTATAATGACAATATTATACATTATGTCTATTTACCAGTATGTTGCTATACACAAAATAGATTCATATACTAATCTTTTATTCCTTCAGACTTTCCATGAGATATGAAAAATTGGATATTATTAAAATAATTTTACAAATCAAATACTCAAGTCACAGAAAGGCAGAGAAAATATTCAAGATCAAATAAAAGGAGAGTTGCAAATATTAGTCCTGTGACTTAGAATGCAGTCTTCTATTCATACATGACTACATTATTACATTGGAAATTGGGAAATTGTTGAAAGTGAAAATAAAAGAAATCAGATGAATATGTAGGGACAGTGAAGGTCAAGGCAAAGATTTAAAGGAGGATAAACATATTCAGAGGAAGACAGCTTTATGCTGTCAAGAAAAATGTGGGTAGGTAATAGATACAATGGATAATTTAATTAGTTGAAATGGATAAGTGTGTTTAGGAAGAGTGTACAAAAATGAAAACACTCAGAAGATATGCATCAGTCTATGTACAAAAGGCAAGTGACATAGATAATGAATCTTCTCTGCTAAATTAAGCATTTACAAAAGAGCAGTGTATATGTCTTCAAAGAACTAATCCATGAAAAATAAAACATAAAAATCTGTTTGGTCAGAAAGCTTTTTTTTCAAGCTCCATTTAGAGCTATCTTCTCCTTCCTGAAAGATACTTCTGTTTTAAAGGTATTTTTTCTGTCTTCTTCCTCTCTATTTTTGTTTTAAAAACAGCCAGCTTCCGGAGCACCTATCTTCCTACACCGAAGACATATCACCAGTAGTTGAATGTCTGTTGGAAAAATCCTGAAACTTTGCATGGACCATCTTTTGTCTGCTAAACTCACCCTACCTTGTGTTCTTGCCAGGACTTTGGGGTGTATGGGAGGACTGAGGTACATAGAGGGAAAAGGCCCAGAGGGGAGAGATAACACCCCTTATTGAACCCACCTTGCTATGCTTGATTCAGCTAATATAATTTATTACTTCCCCACTCCTTCTCACATCCTCCGGTACATACACACATCAGTCTCAAAACAGCAAGAAAATAATTTCTCTTTCTTTCTTTCTTTTTTTTTTTTTTTGGAGACGGAGTCTCGCTCTGTCTCCCAGGCTGGAGCGCAGTGGCGCGATCTCGGCTCACTGCAAGCTCCGCCTCCCGGGTTCACGCCATTCTCCTGCCTCAGCCTCCAGAGTAGCAGGAATACAGGCGCCCGCCACCACGCCCGGCTAATTTTTTGTATTTTTAGCAGAGATGGGGTTTCACTGTGTTTGCCAGGATGGTCTCGATCTCCTGACCTCGTGATCCACCCGCCTCGGCCTCCCAAAGTGCTGGGATTACAGGCGTGAGCCAACGCGACCGGCCAATTTCTCTTTCTTTACATCAAAAATTCTGGGGCTAGAAATCCACACCTTCTTTAGACACTACTCAAGCCTGGAAATGAACTTGTACTTTTTATATATCATGGCTGTTTGCAGAACTGTCTCACTCTCAGAAGAAAAAAAAGTGCTGCAATAAACTAGAATAGAAGTTCTTAATCTTAGTTCTCAAAATGAAAAGTTTTCATTTTGGTCTAAGAATTCCTTCAGATTCTTAAAAATTATTGAGAAATCCAAATAGCTTTTGTGGCATGTAGATTATATGTATTGATATTTAACATATTGTAATAACTTAACTTGAGGTTTTTTTGAAATTATGGCTTTAAAAATGTATAAATCATTTAAAATAACAATGATTCTATTATATGTTTAACTAAATAACAATTTGTAAAGCCCTACGTGTTTCCAAACAAAGGCATTAGTGAAGCGAATGACTGATTTACATTTTTAAGTATATATTCATTGTCTGGTTTGATAAAAGATGGCTGTATTCTCATATCCGTGTCTTCATTCATTCCGTTGTGACATGTAGGATTTAGTTGAAGGATATGAAGAAAATACAGCTTTACACTGATATGAAATGGTAGCACCTTGTGGACCCCCTGAACTGGTTACAGAGACTCACAAAGGTTGTGTGTGTGGGTGTGTGTGTGTGTGTGTAAAACGTATTTAGTTTATACCCTATTTAAAGATTGTAGTTAAAATTCATTAAACAATGAGAAAGTAATATAGAATGAGATATCTTGAAATTTTAAGTTTTGAGATATAGTCTGCATTTTCAGTAAAGAGAGATCACTAGAAACTGAAGGCATTCGATGAGGAAGGAATTTAACTGAATATTAGAGATTGGATAGACTTGCATGGTCATAGTTGTCTGGGACTTCTATGCTGGAGACAGCATGACAAAGGTGTAAAGATAGATTTCTGCAGGTCAAAAGACAGGAAAAATACCTGTCTGCTTCCTGATATCCCATGTGTGGTCCACGTTCATACTTGTTATTCAGGCTTTCGCTTTGTCCTACCGTGTAGATTATTTATATCATTAAGTTCTATTCACGTTTTTGGTGGGGGAACACGGGTAGTCTTTCCTATACAACATGGAAGATCTGACTACTTTCCTCCATCTTGGGGTGCGAGAGAAGGAAGCTGTGCTATATAGAACTGACGCACGGATGGCTCCTCCTGCTCAGGCTGCCAGCTTGGGGAATCACATGCAATAGCCAAGCATGACTAGATGAAATCCTGACAGCTCACTCAGCTCCACATCCAAGCCCTAACCTGGTCACCAACCCCCTCCCTAGCTCCCAAATGAATCCACAACCCTCTAAGAGCTTCCTATAATGGTCATTTCCAATATAATAAGTTTCAAATAATTTCTGAAGTTCAAGTCAACACATTAAATTGAGAGGAGAAGCAAATAGGCATCCAAAGAATAACAAGAGGTGCTTTGTACTATTTAATTGCTGTTCTCTTGGTGACTGGAATAATAATATGGGGACAATTTATCTTCCTTGCACTTGATGCGGCAAGGCTCTCCGTGGATAAGAAAGGGCTTGGTTGAGGCCACTTTAGGATAGAAGTCCAGCCTCCCAAGGCCTCATATGTGGTAAACTGGCCCTGCTGGTTCTATGCTAGAGAAAGGAAATGAGTTGCTCCTGAGAGTGTGCTGAGAATGGAGGGGAGTGCAAGGGAAGTGAAGGGTTCCCGGTGGTAGATCGGATTTGGAGGGGAGAGGGAGTGGTAAAGGACTTACTGATCACCCCTACTTCCTGGTTGGTACAGCATGAACCCCAGTTCATGTGGATTCAGGGGTCATAGCTTAAAAAGAGACCTGACATGTGGGCTATGCGCATACAAAGACAAGAAATGTGTGGCGATTTGCCATTAGTTAACTGCTCTTATAAGGACTCTTGTTTTATCCACACAGCAGCCCTGGGAAGTCGGCCAAATGATGCTATTTCTTATCGTATACAGAGTGCAGAAAAATTCAAGGGGAATTAAGCCTCATAAAAATAATTTAGCTGTTTTTGTAATTCTTTCGAGAGTGGTAGCAGCGAGTACCACATTAGAGAGAAGTTAATTCATTACCAATGATGGAAGCTCTGGGGCATCAGGCTTAATTTTCTTGCCTAAGTATTTGAGAGAGTCTAGACTCCAGAAATGAATGATACAAGGTAAGGGAAGATTTGTAGCTTCTGTACTCATATTAAGGCTGCTATAGTTGAACTCCTAAGCCAAGGTAGAACCACAGCACAAGCTACTGTGTGGTAAACGTCATGACCCCATGCTTCAAAGAACTTCAAAACCTCTTTCAAATGCAGGCATGGTCTGTAGTGATCTGCCTTTATTTCTGGCCAAAGACCCCAGGCGGCTCCTTCTGTGTTCTCTACCTTTTCAAAACTCATGCTATTCTCACTGAACCTGAGACAAAGTTGTGCACTATGGATTCAGTGTTATTCTTCCTTGTACACGCTAAGAATTAAAGGGAAACTAATAGAGGCTAATAAGTCATTGAAGATTGAAGAGATCTACAAAAGTCATACTACAAGGGCAGAGAGCTATCAAGTGCTTAGAAAATGTCAGGCCTTGTGCTGGGATTGGGGAATAACAAAAAGAAGAGAACAAAGAATCCAGTCTTTGAGATATCTCCAAAGGGTGACAGATCATTTGAGCCCAGGAGTTCGAGGCAAGCCTGGGCAACATGGCAAAACCCTATCTCTACAAAAAATACAAACAATTAGCTGGGTGTGGTGGTGCACGCCTATGGTCCCAGGTAATCAGGAGGCTCAGATGGGTGGATCTCCTGAGCCTGGGAGGTCAAGGTTGCAGTGAACCATGATCATGCCACTGCATTCCATCCCAGGTGACAGAGTGAGACCCTGTCTTGAAGAAAAAAGAAAAGAACAATCACACTATCAGTAGTGAAAGGATATATCTGCGGAAAGCCAGTAAGGAGACAATTTTTGTAGTCCAATCTAACTCTACTGAGAACTAGAGGCAAAATAATGACAGTTTGACCAGAGGAACAAGGAGAGACTAGAGAGATATTTCAAGGACGAACAGTCATGGCTTACTAAAAGAAAAATCAAGGATTAAATCCAGAATTGGAGCATTGGGTAAATATTGGTGTTGTTCACAAGATTACAAGTGGAAGATCAGGAGGAGATAGAAAGAATTATCTGGGACATACTGAGTTGGAAGAACTTGTAGTAACCAAGTCAAGGTTTCTAGTAGAGCATTAAAAATATGAACTGAGGCAAGTGACAGAGGTCTATGCCACATACACTCATTTGGAAAAGGTTGTTGAAAACAAGTATGACAGAGACATTTACTGCTTCCCAAAGATGTAGAATCTCTCACACATTTTCGAACTCCTCCGAGTCAGATGGTTTCTGACTTTTGGTGAATGAGCTATGAGTGGAAGTAATGGGTGCCACTTCCATGTGGAAGCATTTAATGTTCACTGCTTAGCCTTCCATTTCTCTTCCCTTCTGCAGTGTTTCCAATAGGACAGTTACAAGATGCAAACAGCTTAGATTTTTGAGTCACTGCTTAGAAGAGAGTTGCCCTGGAAGGCCAGTAGACCAGAGAAAACTTTGTAACAGAAAGCCGTAAATCTCTGTGTATTAAGCTACTGAAAATGTAGGGTTTGTTTATGATAACAAAAGAACTCAGCCTTTGCTTACTAAGACAATGGGCAAGGTTGAGATTGCACCCAGAGATCATTTATTGTAGGAAGATAAGACTCCAGATAGAATAACTCCTGGGGAACATGAATATTTAAGATAGGAGTTTTAACTTGGGACATTCATTAAAATTATGTAGAAGATTTTCAATTAAAAATTTCAGATTCCATCTCAATAAATTCTGACATAATTGCTCTAAGATGAATGCATGCATGAGCATCATTATGTTGTCAAGGGTCCCTTCCTCCAGGTGATTTCAATGAAAGTTGAGAACCACTGGTTTAAGAAATAAGCAAAGGCTAAGAAATAACAAAGAAGCTTTGAGGAGGAAAGGATGTCAAGGTTGGCACAAAAAAAAACCAAAAAACAAAAAAAGGAGAGAGAGAGAGAGAGAGAGAAAGGCATACCGTGAAAACCAAAGGAAAAGTTAGCTTCAATAAGAATAGAATCATTATTAACAAAATTTTTAAAAAGTGAAAGCAAATTGTTATACTTGGCAATTGACACATGAGCTTAGCAAGAATAGCTTAGACAGGCTAATACTACTATTGCTAGGTATTAATAGATTCCACAAGAAAGCACTAAATAACAATTGAAAATAAGTAATGATCTTTATAGAAGTTTGTGATTTCAAGAGAGAGAGAAAGTGAGAGTCAGGGATAAGGGTAGTATTTTTTTTTCTTGTTGTTCCTTCAATTCTTCTATTATTTGCTTTTATTGAGGTTTCAGTGTAAAGATGTAAGTACACAGTACAATAATTTTTTTGGCATTTAACCACCATACAGACAAAAACAGAGAATATTTCCCATCAAGCCAGGAGGGCCCATACCCCTTTCACGCTGGTATTCGTACATGGTACTATACTGACTTCTGTCATTATCCCCCATGATAACAACACTTGTACTTGTTCTTGGTAGTGATAGTTTTACTTCCTCTGGGTCTTTATAAAAATGGAATCATAAAGTAGGTGATGTTTTTCTGTTTTTTCTTTCAATATTACATGTTTGAGATTTACCCATTTGTAGTGTGTATCAATACTTATTGCTTTTGTTATTAGGCGTGAAATTCCATCATATGACTATTCTCCACTGTATTTCTTCCACTCAACCAGACTACCCATTCTCTGCTTGAAGTCCATTTCCTCATTCAGTGGTTTAAAAAGAAACACAAACCATTCATGAGGAGAAAGCCAGAGAACTGTGGGGCTCAACTTGTTTGCCTTTCTTCTCTCAAGGATCACAGTCCCCAGGCATTGCTGTTGAGAGCCTCCAATATATATAAATATATATTAATATCTTAAATATATATTTATATATAAATATGTATTTTATATATAATATATTTTTAAATATAAATATATATTTAATATATATTTTATAGATTAAATATATATTATATATAAATATATATTTCATATATTAAACACATATTTATATAAATATACATTGTATATAAATATATATTTTATATATAAATATACATTGTATATAAATATATATTTTATATATAAATATACATTATATATTATATATAATATATATTATACATAAAATATATTTTATATATAATATATATTATATATATTATATATAATATATATTTTATGTATAATATATATTATATATATAATATATATATAATATATATATTACATATTATATATATATAATATATATATAATATATATATTATATATTATACATATAAAATATATATATAATATATATATTATATATTATATATATAAAATATATATATAATATATATATTATATATTATATATATAAAATATATATATAATATATATATTATATATTATATATATAAAATATATATATAATATATATTATATTATATATAATAATATATAATATATATTATATTATATATAATAATATATAATATATATTATATTATATATAATAATATATAATATATATTATATTATATATAATAATATATAATATATATTATATTATATATAATATATATTATATTATAATATAATATATAATATTATATATAATATATATTATATATAATATATATTGTATTATATATAATATATGTATATATATACATTTTATATATTAAATATATATTTTATATATTAAATATATAAATAAATAACTAATCTATTAAATAAAAATAAATTAATATATTATATATAAATATATAATATATTAAATATACATTTTTTTTTTTGAGACGGCATTTTGCTCCCTCTTGTCACCCAGGCTGGAGTGCAGTGATGCCATCTCGGCTTACTGCAACTTCTGCCTCGCCGGTTCAAGCAATTCTCCTGTCTCAGCTCCCGGAGTAGCTGGCATTACAGGCGCCTGCCTTCACACCCGGCTAATTTTTGTATTTTTAGTAGAGACGGGGTTTCACCATGTTGGCCAGGGTTTGAACTCCTGGCCTCAGGTGATCTGCCCGCCTCAGCGTCCCAAAGTGCTAGGATTATAGGCGTGAGCCACCGCGCCCAGCCTAAATTATACATTTTGTTCAACTGTACATTTGTGAACAGTGAGAGGGTAAGCAGGAACTCAACCCTGCATACTCTGCTATAAGCAGGACTTTAAGTCCTGTGTTTTGTTTTGTTTTGTTTTGTTTGAAACAGAGTCTCGCTCTGTCGCCCAGGCTGGAGTGCAGTGGCGCGATCTCGGCTCACTGCAAGCTCCGCCTCCCGGGTTCACGCCATTCTCCTGCCTCAGCCTCCCGAGTAGCTGGGACTACAGGCGCCTGCCACCGCGCCCGGCTAATTTTTTTGTAATTTTAGTAGAGACGGGGTTTCACCCTGTTAGCCAGGATGGTCTCGATCTCCTGACCTCATGATCTGCCCGCCTCGGCCTCCCAAAGTGCTGGGATTACAGGCCTGAGCCACCGCGACCGGCTGTTTTGTTTTAACTGGAGAAAATGCTAGAGAATAAGCATATATTGAAGGGAAACATAGGAGATGGGGGTTGGGCCGTTTTAGAAGCAGGAGAGATGATAATGAAGTATCTTCCAGAATACTTTATGATGGAAGTAGAGTAGTGTTGCTGGATTTCGTTCTCAATACTGCAAGAACGTAAAACTGAAGAAAGGAATATAGGAAGCTTTGTATTTGGAGGATGACACTGATCCTCCCAAATAGCCCCATTTTCTAGTTTGTTGTTTGTTTGTTCTGTTTTAAATAATCTTTCTGGCCACGTCATGTGCTGAGAGCAAAGGGACAGGTTTGGAGTAGGGCAGTCTAACACACAATGACTGTGCATAAGGGCCTCCTCGATGACAGAAAAGGAAGTCGGGGGGCTGTCAGAATGAACACAGAACCACAAGCAAAGGTGCAATAAGGTTGGAAGTAAGACAATTATGTTAATAATATGGTCAGCTTCTTTACTTTTTGTTCATATTCATATTAGTGCATAACAAAGTATGACAGACTGGCTGTGTGGCTTAAACAACACATGTCTTGTCTCACAGTTCTGGAGACGGGATGTCCAAGATCAAGATGTTGGCAGGTTTGGATTCTCCTGAGGGCTGTGAAGAAAGAATCTGTTCAAAACCTCACTCCTTGTCCTGTGGATGGCCATCTTCTCTGTGTTTCTTCACATCTTTTTTTCCTTTGTATGTATCTGTGTCCAAATTTCACCTTTTTATAAGGACATCAGTCATATGGATTAGAGCCAACCTAATGACCTTAATTTAACCTGATTTCCTCTGTAAAGACCCTATCTCCAAATTATGTCTACAAGTTTTGGGTAGACAAAATTCAATCTATAACACTTAGCAAAAGGATGTTAAGCCATTTTTATACATCGCTATGGTATAAATAACCAAGATGGAACAAAGGAAAACATGACTATGAAATTTACATAGAGTTTAGTTGAATGTAGTGCATATAATAAATATCCAGAGGACAAGGAGTACCAAGCAGAAGTTTGGGTGGGGGAGTGCAGTGATGGTAATGGCTCACCCAAGATGCATTTTCTACAGATAACTTAAAATTATTTGTTGGCCTAAGTTCTAACAATTGCTGCAGTTACCTTTAAGTTTAATAACATATGTCAGTTTCAAATGCATGTAATTTTATTACTTATGTTTGATAATCATGGCATTCTACATGGCCACTAACTTGCAGAACTTCTAGTTAACACAGTTTTAATTGTACCATGTGGAATTAGCTACATACATTCATTTCAAGAATAGGTTTATAACAGTTTGAAATAATTTAAACTCACTTTGGGCACAGTTATTGTCTCCGGTCCCTACGGTTTTAGATAACCCTGTGTTTAACAGTCAGTTTTAAATAAACTAAAGTATAATAGCATAATACTATAAGAGAGAAATTGAGTTTGTTGCATTCTGAAATTCTCATTTTAAGTTGTATTTAAAATGTAAAACAGTGAAACAGAATGATAACTGCAAGGTGTAATATATTTGTTTGGTAAGTGCACATTTCATTTTGTACACAAATAATTACTAAATATGAATATATTTAAAATTAAAATGTATTTTTAAACTAATAATTATTTCTTTTAAAGCTAAATTAAGCATCAATAAAATAATTATTGTTCTTTGCTATGTTTTTCATGGGAAAATTTTGGACAACACAAAATTTGCTAAATAGCATTGTTTTTCCTGGTAACACAATGTAATGGAAAGTACCCTCGTGGGTCCCTGTAAATGTCCTACTATCTGAGATAACAAGCAGAGTTGACAATATTCTTATAAGAAATGACACAGTAAATGTCACTGTCCTGTTTGTGGAAATGCCTTTCAGTGAGATTTGACGGTGCACATACAAAAATAAATGTTTTTGAATAGCTAAAATAAAATAATCTGGGTTGAAAGCTTTCTTATGGTCTTGTCTAAGCCAAAGGAAAAATTTGGTAGAGTTAGAGAATCCCTTCCCACAGTGCCTTACGGAGACTACTACACGAAACGACCCCTCCAATAAGTCCACTGAAGTTGAAGATCAGGAAATGAGGTGTTCTTTGTCACCATTTTCACCCCATGGGAACTTAAAGAGCTCATTAGCATGTCAGAAACTCAGGAGAGTTACTGGGTCAAAGAAGGTTATTCTTGAATATGTGTTTAACATATTCAACTTGAAATAACCCCCACCTTTTTTCCCCAAAAATAGCATGCCTTAGAACTTGTGTTGTTTAGAAGACAATTTAGAAAAGAAGGCCTTTTATATTCTTCCAGGACTGCACCATGATGTTCTTCCCATTTTTTGTAAAGAATAGTGGAGGGTCTCCGCTAACCATTACTTTAATGAAGACTGAAGATCCACAGGTCTGCACCATTGAACGTGCCCACAGTACTGCTAGCTTGAAAATATATTAAAGTTGTTATTACCAGTACAGCTAAATTGCCCCCTGCATTTGTAGTAACACCAATTTCCTCAAATAAAGGCTCATTTTTTTGAAGGAGGATATTCTCCTATATTCAGAGGGTAATAGTAAGAGACCTACTCTTTTCTCTTTGTTCAGAAGAGCTTCATTTTTGCCTGAGATACACCATTTATGGAAAAAAGATTTCTGAAGAAAGCTAGACAAAAGAGATAGAAAGAACCTACCTAGTAACAGTGAATAAAGTATGACAGAATAGTTATAAATATTTTTATCGTGATATCAAAGCAAAAGAATGTTCATAAGTAATACAGCTATCGGGAGGGAGGTGAGAAAGAGAAGACCCTATTTTAGCAGAGCAGAAATGTCCCTAAGATTACAAAAGTTACGATTCAGACCCACAGCTCCTTTTCATTTATATCATGAGAAAGCTCATCATAGCACACTCACCTGCTGAATTCTAGGGCAGTAACTTGTTGAGAAAAGGAACCCATGGAGAAGGAACAAAAGGTTTAAAAGCAGTTGAAGTAAATTTTAGGGGGCAGTTCATGAATTGAAGGAAGTAGTGGAGCTACCAGGTATCTATCTAGGGGTCTAGCAGAACCACTACAATTTTACAAAGGGCAAAGTTGGATATTATTATATATTTTGATCGAAACTTCAGAAATTTAGGAAATGAAATTCCTATAGAAGTTATAATGACATATAATTCAACACTCTTGGCTGTGGAGATGAGAGGGAAAGCCCTGGCTCAGATGGCACAAGGGTTTGCGGTTGAGGTTGGATAGAGATTACCTGTAAGAGAAACTCAGGAGGCCTTTGAGAGAAAACAAGATGAGAGGAAAACATCCAGGAAGGCCTAGAGGATTAAGATATTCCTATCTGGGCTGTTACCAAGCAGCGTAATTTCCAAATTCAACAATATTCTGGATAATTTTAAATTGCCAGAGATGACAGAAAAGAGAAAACATAACAGGGAATGAAAAGCAATGATTAGAAACAAACAAACAAATATCAGATCAATGAATGGAAGTAAGAGAAAAAAAAAGAACAATATTATTGTGTAGTGCTTAACAGCAGCCATTTCGTAGACAGATAGACACAGGTTTAAATTCCAGTTATACCGCTTAACTAGCTGTAGGACATTGGGCAGTTTACTTAATCTTTGCCTTTGTTTCCATAACTATATAAAGGGAATAATAACAGCATCTGCCTCCCAGGAATGCAAAATTAGATTTGAGGTTCTTAGGACAATGCTTGGTGCTTAATTTCCAATTTTTTGAGCAATTACTAGTCACAAAAAAGTAAGACCTTCATCAAAAAGAGAAGACAGCTACAAGTTTCAGGAAAATCTTAAAACAAATTCAAATGCAATTTCTGGGACTTTTTAGTAATCTGTACAGGGTGTTCATGTCAATATTTTCTGGTTGTAAGTGAAATAGACATTTTCTGAATGTTAAAAAATAGAAGTAAATCCTATTTCTAACTATCTCAACCTGAAAAATCTAGAGCATAAAAGAAAGTTATGAAAAAAACAACCGATTTTTACATTTTTGCTCTTTTATGTTTTTGAAGAGGAGTCTAGGCAAACACTTGGATATTTGATTGCCAATATGAACTTAGTCATTGAGTAGTAAAGTTAATTTTCTAGTAAATGCCGTCAGCACTAAGCATATCATTCACACAGAAGGAGAGGCCTATTCAAACCCATACACATAGAATCCAAACATCTGAGTTATACATTGCCCCAGTATAACATAGCTTGCCTCTATGTGAGCCCAGATGTTACATGAGTCTATTCAGGAAAAATACAAGCAAATGAAAATATTGTGTTCAGTGAGTATTGCGCTAAGCTCTTGGGCAACTAAGACAGCTTGTCTCCACTGAGAGGGTGTGGACATGCTGTGTTTTCCTAATCAAATCTTGAGCTGGGGCTATATATTCACATATCTTCTTCCCATCCAGAAGGTGGGCTAATAGGCCGCATCCCTCCATCAATACAAGCATATTATTGGGTATCAATTTATTCAGTAAATACTTATCATCCCACTATGATGTGTCATGCATGGTGATAGGCCCTGGGAATATAGCCAAGGATAGCACTGCACTCACAGCATTCATATTCTCATGCAAAAAGACAGACAATGCACAGGTAAACAAGTAAGATGATTCCAGAGAAGCATAAGTTCCACGAAGAAAGTGAAACACAGTAATGAGACATAGAGTAGGCTGTCAAGACATTTTTGTGGAATGAAAGAAGGAAAACAGTTTCTCCACAAATGTCACTTGGCAATTGCTCCAGGCAAACACAGATGCCCTCTTCCTGAGGTTACGGGTGGTGAATTTTCTTCCTTGCCAGCTATGCAATAAAAGCCCATAAAGAGAATTTGCTGGCCCCCATGCACCTCCCTATCCCCTCCCCCAACACACACACACACACACACACACACACACACACACACACACACACACAGTTTTTGGAAAAACTAAATTGAGGCTAAAAAAAAAATCTTTTGCGTGCTTTCCATGATCCAGATCGTGTCCCCCAAACTTTACATGTTTATCCACATTCAATGTATATGACAGCCTTATAACCCAGGTGCTATTTTCATCCCCACTTTTACAAATGAGAATATTAAGGCACAGAAAAAATTAGTAACTTACTAAAGGTCACACGTCTGCTAAGTGGCAGAATCGAGATTTAAACCAAGGCAGTTTGGCTTCAGGGTCTTAGCTCTTTCCTTATAATGTCATGGTAGATGAAGGAGCCATGATAATAATGATATAGTATTTTCCCCTCTTCAATATGTATACACACTTCTTAACCAAGTCTCTGAGTACACAAGTTTTGCTTTTCTCCATGGAGAACTGAGACAGTCATCATGGGGAAACATAGGTATCCTACCTGCAAGGACAACATTCTTCTTTATTCCTTGGGCAAGTTCAACATGCTTCTTTCAGATAGACAAATGGACTCATGAATTACTAATGTCTGGCACCCCTAGACTTCAGAAAACTTCAGTGGTATGCCATTGAAGGTATACAATTTTACTATATACAATTATATTTTTATTTGTTATCTCCTTCCCACTAAGCCATGAACTGTGAGGTGGCATGGTCTATGTCTTGATTAACATTATACCGGTTTAGCAATGTTCCAGATACATAAGATTATTCATTAAGGACTTATGACATGAATGAAATGAATGAGTGATGAGGTTACAGCACTAAACCTGTATGAAATGATGGCTTCCTGATTTGTTGTAACTTTTTCACAGTAGAATAGTCATTTTTGCAGAGAGCAATATACAATTAAGCAGTAAAATGCTGATGCTCTCAACTGGACCATCAATGTCAGTAACGGAAAATTAAGAGAATGAAAATAATTGTTGCTTTGAACCCTCACAGCTGAGGAATCTTTATTTAGAGCCTCTTCTAAAATAATTATCTTTTTATAAACATGCATTTGATCTCATCTACTCTCACGAGTTATTCCTGTGTTTGGTGCTCTGTTTTGACTCCAAGCTACCTTCTGGGCCCCCATCTGTCAATAGCAAAGTGTTACAATTATGACTTCCCCTCAGTCAAATCTGCTAGTTTTCTCATACTCAGTTGCTATAGCACTTCAGCCTCCCTCTAAAGATCCTTGTTTTTAATACTGCACATTTTTCTCTACTATTCATTTACTTACACCCTTTCACAGATTTTTGTCGACATGCTACAGACTTTGACACTTGACAGTTTTCTGAAGCTTTTGCTAAGTAAATTGAAAATTGGGATAGTACAACAGGAATCCAGCCTGTATCTGTATATGCTGCATTTCTATTTCATATCAACTGAAGTCCTATTGTAGTCAGATCTTTCATGTAGAGCTGAAGATCCATTTCCATTTGGTACAAGCTTGCCATATTTGTTTACTATTGTCAACGGTAGAACTTTCAATTGTAGACAGAAAACTTGGCTGAAATTAAAAATTGAAAAAAATACTGTGGAAGAATATATTTGCAAATCATCTATTTGATAAGGGACTTGTGTCCAAAATATATATATTAAAAAATCTTACAATTCTACAATGAAAAGATAAATGCCCCAATCTAAAAACAGAAATGGATTTGAACACACATTTCTCCAAATGAGACATGCAAGTGGCCAGCGGGCACATGAAATAGCCAATGGGCCAATGGAAACATCATTTGTCACTGAGAAAATGCAAATCAAAAATCACAATACACCACTTCATACAAACTAGGATGGCTATAATAAAAAAGAAAGATAATAAAACTATTGTCAAGAAACAGTTTTCTGGAGAAACTGGAACCTTCATACATTGCTGGTGGAAATGTAAAATGTTATAACCAGTTGGAAAACAGTTTGCAGTTCCTTAAAAAGTTAAACATAGAAAGCAAGCAATTCCATTCCTAGACATACATGCCTAAGATAAATAAAAACACGTCTACCCAAAAACTTGTACACTAAAAAAAAAATAAGTGTACACTTTTTCTGAGGTTGTTTGCATATCTTGACTATTATGGATAATGTTCACAGCAGCATTATTCATAATAGCCAAGGTATGCAAACAACCCAAATGTCCACCAACTGGTAAATGGATGAGCAAACTGTGATGTGTCCATACAATGAAATGTTACTCTTCCATGAAAAAGAATGAAGTCCTGACACAGGCTATAACATGGATGAATCTTTTTTTTTCCATAAGATATTGGCGCACATGTGGTATTTGGTTACATGGGCGGGTTCTCTAGTGGTGATTTGTGAGATTTTGGTGTACCCATCACCTGAGCAGTATACATTGCACCCTATTTGTAGTCATTTAACTCTCGCCCCCCTCCCACACTTCCCCCCAAGACCCAGAAGTCCATTGTATCATTCTTATGCCTTTGCATCCTCGTGGTTTAGCTCCCACATATCACGGGGAACATACAATGTTTGGTTTTCCATTCCTGAGTTACCTCACTTAGAATAATAGTCTCCAATCTCATCCAGGTCACTGCAAATGCTGTTAATTCATTTCTTTTTATGGCTGAGTAGTTTTCCATTGTACATATATACCAAAGTATCTTTATCCACTCGTTGATTGATGAGCATTTGATTTGTTCCATGATTTTGCAATTGCAAATTGTGCTGCTATAAACATGCGTGTGCAAGTATCTTTTTCATATAATGACTTCTTTTCCTCTGGGTAGATACCCAGTAGTGGGATTGCTGGATCAAATGTAGTTCTACTTTTAGTTCTTTAAGGAATCTCCACACTGTTTTCCATAGTGGCTGTACCAGTTTACATTCCCACCAGCAGTGTAGAAGTGTTCCGTGATCACCACATCCACGCCAACATCTACTGTTTTTTGATTTTTTGATTATGGCCATTCTTGCAGGAGTAAGATAGCATCACATTGTGGTTTTGATTTGCATTTCCCTGATCATTAGTGATGTTGAGCATTTTTTCATATGTTTGTTGGCCATTTGTATATCTTCTTTAGAGAATTGTCTATTCATGTCCTTAGCCCACTTTTTGATGGGATTGTTTGTTTTTTTCTTACTGATTTGTTCGAGTTCGTTATAGATTCTGGATATCAGTCCTTTGTCAGATGTATAGATTGTAAAGATTTTCTCTCCCTCTGTGGGTTGTGTGTTTACTCTGCTGATTGTTCCTTTTGCTGTGCAAAAATTCTTTGGTTTAATTAGGTCCCAGTTTTTATTGCGTCGTGAAATCCTTACCTAAGCCAATGTCTAAAAGTGTTTTTCCAATGTTACCTTCTAGAATTTTTATAGTTTCAGGCCTTACCTCTTAGATTTAAGTCCTTAATCCATCCTGAGTTGATTTTTGTATAAGGTGACAGATAAAGATCCAGTTTCATTCTCCTGCATGTGGCTAGTCAATTATCCAAGCACCATTTTTTTTTTTTTTTTTGAGACGGAGTGTTGCTCTGTCACCTGGATTGAATGCAGTGGTGCAATCTTGGCTCACTGCAACCTCCACCTCCTGGACTGAAGTGATTCTCCTGCCTCAGCCTCCTGAGTAGTTGGAACTACAGGCATGCGCCATTGCACCCAGATAATTTTTGTATTTTTTAGTAGAGATGAGGTTTCACCACTTTGGCCAGGCTGGTCTCAATCTCCTGGCCTCATGTGGTCCACCCTTCTTGGCCTCCCAAAGTGCTGAGATTATAGCACTAAGCCACCATGCCCA
Source organism: Homo sapiens (assembly GCF_000001405.40). Classification (NCBI taxonomy): domain Eukaryota; kingdom Metazoa; phylum Chordata; class Mammalia; order Primates; family Hominidae; genus Homo; species Homo sapiens. Next base: position 103,417,087 of record NC_000002.12, on the reverse strand, counting down.
GCCCCAGCACCATTTGTTGAAAAGGGTGTCCTTTCCCCACTTTATGTTTTTGTTTGCTTTGTTGAAGATCAGTTGGCTGTAAGTATTTGGGTTCATTTCTGGGTTCTTTATTCTGTTCCATTGGTCTATGTGCCTATTTTTATACCAGTATCATGCTGTTTTGGTGACTATGGCTTTATAGTATAGTTTGAAATGAGGTAGTGTGATGCCTTCAGATTTGTTCTTTTTGGTTAGTATTTCTTTGGCTATGCTGGCTCTTTTTTGGTTTCATATGAATTTTAGAATGTTTTTTTCTAGTTCTGTGAAGAATGATGGTGGTATTTTGATGGGGATTGCGATGAATTTGTAGATTGCTTTTGGTAGTATGGTCATTTTCACAATATTGATTCTATCCATCCATGAGCATGGGATGTGTTTCCATTCGTTTGTGTCATCTATGATTTCTTTCAGCAGTGTTTTGTAGTTTTCCTTGTAGAGGTCTTTGGACTTCTTGGTTAGGAATATTCCTAAGCATTTTATTTTATTTTTTTCAGCTGTTGTAAAAGGGGTTGAGTTCTTTATTTGATTCTCCTCTTGGTCACTGTTGGTGTATACGAGGGCTACTGATTTGTGTATATTAATCTTATATCCGGAAACTTTGCTGAATTCTTTCATCAGTTCTAGAAGCTTTCTGGAGGAGTCTTTAGGGTTTTTAAGGTAAATGATCATATCAGCTAACAGTGACAGTTTGACTTCCTCTTTACAGATTTGGATGCCCTTTTCTTTTCTTTCTTTCCTTTTTTTTTTTTTTTTTTTTTTTTGAGATGGAGTTTTGCTTTTTTCACCCAGGCTGCAGTGCAATGGCGCAATCACGGGTCACTGCCCCCTCTGCCTTCCAGGTTCAAGCAATCCTCCTGCCTCTGCCTCCCAAGTAGCCGGGATTACAGGTGCCTGCCATCACACCCAGCTAATTTTCATACTTTTAGTAGAGATGGGGTTTCACCACATTGGCCAGGCTCCTCTCGAAATTCTAACCTCAGGTGATCCACCTGCCTCAGCCTCCCAAAATGCTGGGATTACAGGCATGAACCACCACGCCTGGCCCAATTTTTTTCTGTTGCCTGATTGTTCTGGCTAAGACTTCCAGTACTACATTGAAGAGGAGTGATGAGAGTGGGCATCCTTATCTTGTTCCAGTTCTCAGATGGAATGCTTTCAGCTTTTCTCCTTTCAGTATTATGTTGGCTGTGGGTTTGTCATAGATGGCTTTTATTACATTAAGATATATCCTTTGTATGCTGATTTTGCTGAGAGTTTTAATCATAAAGGGATGATGGATTTTGTCTGATGCTTTCTGTGCATTTATTGAGACTATCACGTGGTTTTTTATTTTTAATTCTGTTTATGTGGTGTATCACATTTATTGACTTCTGTATGTTAAACCATTCCTGCATCCCTGGTATGTAACCCACTTGATCATTGTGGATTACCTTTTTGATATTTTGTTGAATTTGGTTAGCTAGTATTTTGTTAAGTATTTTAGCATCTATGTTCATCAAAGATATTGGTCTGTAGTTTTCTTTTTTGGTTGGTCCTTTCCTGGTTTTGGTATTAGGGTGATGCTGGCTTCATAGAATGAATTAGGGAGGATTCCTTCTTTTTCTGTCTTGTGGAATAGTGCCAAAAGGATTGGTACCAATTCTTCTTTGAATGTTTGGTAGAACTCTGCTGTGAATCCATCTGGTCCTGGGCTTTTTTCGTTAGTAATTTTTTAATTATCATTTCCATCTCATAGCTTGTTATTGGTCTGTTCAGGGTGCCTAATTCTTCCTGATTTAATCTAGGAGGGTTGTATTTTTCCAGCAATTTATCCATCCCTTCAAGGTTTTCTACTTTATGTGCATAAGTGTGTTCGTCATAGCCTTGAATGATCTTTTGTATTTCAGTGGTGTCAGTTGTAATATCTCCTGTTTCATTTCTTAGTGAGGTTATTTGGATTTTCTCTCTTCTTTTCTTGGTTAATCTTGCTAATGGTCTACCAATTTTATTTATCTTTCAAAGAGTCAGCTTTTTGTTTCATTTATCTTTTGTATTTTTTTATTTCAATTTCATTTAGTTCAGCTCTGATCTTGGTTATTTTCCTTCTTCTGCTGGGTTTGGTTTTAGTTTGTTCTTGTTTCTCTATTCCTTGAGGTGTGACCTTATAATGTCAGTTTGTGCTTTTTCAGGCTTTTTGATGTAGGCGTTTAGGGCTAGATAACATGGATGAATCTTGAAAGCATTGTGATAAGTGAAAGAAGCCAGACACAAAAGGTCACATATTGTATAATTCCATTTATATGAAATGTCCAAAGTTGGCAAGCCCATAGAGAGAAAAAGCACATAGTTTATTGACTGGCAGAGGCGGAGGGTTAAGGGAGTGGCTGGGTATAGATCTAGGATATCCTTTAGGGATAATGAAAATGTTCTAAAATTCGATTGTGTGATGGTTTCAAAATTCTGTGGATTTGTCGAAACCACTTAATTGTAAAATACAAAGAGATCTATTTTATAGTATATGAATTAAATTTCAATAAATCTGTTTTTAAAAATGAATAATACTCTACCCCTCCAAAACCCTACTGCCAAATAGCTGCTGTTAATTCAAGGATGTTATAAACCCATGCAGAGATTGAAAGGGCAAAATAATTTTCCATATTTTATTATTAATGAGTGTGAGTGAGGCTGATTATCATTTCTGCAGGGCACATGATCATAATATTATTACTATTATTACCATACTATGAATATTACTATCTCAGCATAAATGCTGAAAAAAGTGTTTTATCCAGAGGAATACACATATGTTTCAGACTTTCTTTTGTGAGATTAATATATTTTATTGAATAATATAGTTATGTTTACACTTACATAGCTCAGAGAAAAACTGTAAAAACTTTTTACTAATGGTTTCAATTCAAAATAACATGAAAGGACAAGTTAACTTAAGAAATATTTTTTTCTCATCTCTGGATCTTTTGCTTCCTGTTTGTAGATTATGTTTAGATTAGTGGATTTCTACCCTCACTCATCTCTGTCTGTAATATTGGACTTGTGGATCACTGTTGAAGAGCAGAAATGATTCACCTCTTACTTTTTATCAGACCTATACCTGTAGATTTTCCTAGCAGAATGTTCCCTCTAAAATAATAAGGTATCAAGAGATAAGAAAAAACAGGCACCTTGTTTAAAGTATCATGTGGACTACCAAATGAATGCATGGATTTCTGGGTACATAGTTTTTTCTGTACGTGTGTGTGCATGTGTGTGTATTTATATCCCCAGAAGATTTAAGACCTCATTTAAAATTTTTAAATTGCATGGGAAGGTGATACCTATATATTGAGGCATTAATTCTCTTCATAATGATGAAATGAAACTAGTATCAAACTAGCATATTTAATTTTGGAATCATATTTTAGTGAAAGAAACATGGTTTCTATTGACTCAGTAGATTCTTGTCATATCTAATTTATTGCAGTAGAGTTTTGTGGAAGCAAACATATATAAATGTATAAGTTCCATGTATAATTGGGAAGCATAGATAAAAATAATTTGACATTGAAATTTATACTTAAGAAATGGTGCACTTCACTACAATCAATTTTTCATTATGCTGTTGAGATCAATAGCTACAAATAAGATATAAAAACTCTATTATTGATGGGGCACATGTCAGTATAAAATGTGCAGTTTTCTATAGCATTTCAGGGGTAGAAAATTGTATTATACAGTTTCCAATGATATTCATATTGCTCTGTAGAGAACGCCTATTAAAATCAATGTACAGTAAGTCAACACAGGGATATTTTATAACATTGAAAAAGGGCAGAGCACATATAAAAAAGATACTACTATTTTAAAAATATTACCTTAAATTCTTTTGTCAGGGGTTGGCTGGCATTCTTAAAGTAATGAGAAAACATGAGAGCTTTTATTTGCTTTTTTGTTTGTTTGTTTGTTTGTTTTAACCATTTAAAAACTGATCCAGCTTAGTCATTACCAAATCTGATTACCTCTGAGAGCTGTTAGGCCTTGTGACATTTACTAAATAAAACATGTCCCTTCCCCTCACCACCCCCCCCCCCCACAACAAACACACAACAAAATACTTCACATCAATGAAGAAGCTGAGGTATAGCCACAGAGCACACATTTGAGAAAGGGGGGAAATTAATGCATGTGGAAAATCTTTGGACTCCAAAGAAATATGTTCCACATAGTAATGGTCATAATACTTCAGGTCTTAATACTGTGATCACAAGCCCTGTAATACCATTCACTTAGAAAATAAACATGGTCTGAGCAATGAAGCTAATAAGGAATATGCTGGTTTTAGAGGGCTTAAAGTGTGGTAGATCTGGCAGAAGGCATTTATTTCCTTTTGAAAATCTTGATTTTTTTGTTTAAATCTACATGTAATTCTTTCTGATGAATAAAACAATGTCATAAAGTTCTCAAATTTATTTTAAATAGCCAGACATTTTTCTAAACTACTTCACTCAATCACTTCTGCTTCAATGATAATCCATTTGGCCATAATATAAATACATTTTATTCAATGATAAATTGTGTGTTGCAGGCCTGTTTGAAACAGTACCAGTTTTACGTTTCTGGTCATTGAAATAAGACTTTTCTAAACAACAAATAACTTGAGAATGAGACCTGTTTCAAAAAGGTTTATATTGTATTTACAATCAAATGGTATTAATTTATTATCTGGACCAATGTGGCACTCCGTGGGGCAAGTAAACCTACTTGTAAAGCATAAAGGGAGATAAAATTCACCTACAGAGATTGATATTCAAATTTTGAAAGGCACATATTTCTAATTTAGAGGATAATTTATTTCCAAGTAAAGTGATTATTCTTTCCTTGGAAGCAGTGCTTTCAAGGAAAGAAGGGAGAGGAATGTGACACAGTGGGTGGCCTAAAGGGGTGTGTGTGTGTGTGTGTGTGTGTGTGTGTGTGTGTGTGTGACATAGTCATCACAGATAAAATTTTGTCATTCTACAAATATTTATTAAATCATATCTCAGAACCCTGGGAGATTCAAAGACTGCATGATGGAGCTTTACATTTCATAGGTGAGCCGTATTTGTCAACTAGGTCTGCCATAATGAGTATCACAGACTGGGGTCCTTAAACAACAGACATTTATTCTCTCACAGTTCTGGAGTCTGGAAGTCCAGGATCAAGGTGCCTGCAGTTTCTCCTGAGGCCTCTCTCATTGCCTGGCAGATGCTGCCTTGTCTGCCCTCACGTGGCCTTTCCTCTGTGCTCAAGCGTCCCTGAGGTCTCTTCCTCTTCTTATGAGGATATCAGTCCTATTGGATTAGGCCCCACCCTTATGAACCTATTTAGCCTTAATTACACCCTTTAAAGGCTGTATATCCAAATACAGTCACATTGAAATTAGGGCTTCAAACATGAATTTACCCGGAGAAGAGAGACAAAATTCGGCCCATAACAGGAACTAATAAATGTACACAAGTATCTTCAATATATTTAGTAGTTTTCCCTAAAATGCTATGGGACTTAGCAGAGTGCGACTCTCTTAGAATCTTTTAGATCTGAACATCAGTTATCTCATCTCCGAGGTGAAATGGCAATGGCCCCCACAACACTTATGAACTTTTCAGTTTAAAACTACCAGGAATCTCTGAAAGCTGAACCAAATTAGACTTCATCAACCTGACGGACTGAGGCAGGTTCTGAGAGCAGGCAGGTTTTCCTTGGGCGGAGGTGGGACGATGAGATACCCCTCCAGTGGATGGCTGGGCAGAGCAGAAGCACATGTGGGGCCATATTCAGAGGATGGCAAGCAGCACAGTTTGGTAAGGACAGGGAGGACCCGCCGGGCAGCGGTGAGGACTGTGCCCAAGCTGGCGTGCACATAGAACCTGGAGAGTCAGTCTGAAGGTTCCATATTTTATTAACAGGCCAATGTTGATATCAGCAGCTTTTGAGCATGGAGGTACTGCACTTAGCATCATTCTGGAGGGTGCTTTGTCTCATGGAGGAAAGGAGGATGGAAAGCGTAGTGAGTTCTTGGAAGAAAGGAGGAAGAGTGAAGGATTCGAGGTCTGCAGGTGCTCCCAGAGCCAACTGAAAGAAATGCCTTCACCCTGCAGCCTCAAACCTGCTCAAATTTTGTTTCTTTGTTTACACACATTCATCCTTTCCTGAAAGGGCAAGAGGAACCAAAGATTCCCAAGAAGCTCTCCAAGGCTGGTTGCTCTGCATTTAGCACTCAAAACAAATCTGTGAGCTGGCATCCGTCATCTCTACTCCATGAAATTATTAAGCAAGGCTGGGGAGGCCCAAGGTCTCCACGCTACTTATGAGGAATTCATACAGCCTGTCCATTCTGTCTGCTCCCACAAGTGAGATTTCTGCAAGGCATCGTACAGAGTTCTAGCGTTCTGACATGAAGCAGCTAGACATGAACTGATGAATGAAGAAAGAACAGACAAATTAGCAAGCAAGGCTAAGGAAAAAAAGGAGAGTCGGGGAACTTCAGGAATGCTAAGGGGCATTGGAGGCAGGCAGGTGTACGGACACAAACCGATAGAACATTATGCTACCACATGGCATTCTGCCTCCCCTTATGCCTTCATGGTGCTCCAGTGCATCATGCCAACCTATTGCATCATGCCCCCATTGCATCATGCCACTTTATTACAGCATGCCACTTTATTGCCTCATGCCACTTTTTTGCCTCACGCTACCTCTTGCTCTGTACTGTTCTGTTGCACCCTGCCACCCCATTGCATCAAGCTGAGATATTTTTTCAGGATTTCTTGGTTTCCAGTCCTCACTTCCATGAGTGGAACAGGAGATCATGTTGAGAGGGATGTTAAGTTCTGTGGCTCACTGCAGTTACAGAAGAAACAGAAGAGCAAATGAAAGTAATCTGTTTTAATTTGAGTTTACATCAAGAAAATGAACAGATGGACAAAGTGCACTGGCTCACGTCTGTAATCCCAGCACTTTGGGAGGCCGAGGCGGGTGGATCACTTGAGGGCAGGAGTTCAAGACCAGCCTGGCCAACATGGTGAAACCCTGTCTCTGCTTAAAGTACAAAAATTAGTCAGGTGAGGTGGCAGGCGCCTGTAGTCCCAGCTACTCAGGAGGTTGAATCAGGAGAACCGCTTGAACCCTGGAGGCGGAGGTTGCAGTGAGCAGAGATCACACCACTGCATTCCAGCCTGGGTGGCAGAAAGAGACTCTGTCTCAAAAAAAAAAAAAAAGGAAAATGAACAAATGAGTGGGTACTTATTGCTCCTGGAACACAGCGCCTTAGGACCATGGCTACACTGACAACTGTGTTTGAAGCCTTGGAAATCTCTTTGAACCGCAATGACTTTTATCAGTCAAATGGAATCATTTGTGTGGATTTAGAACAATGTTATATTCTTCTGAGATGTAGACTGTTTCCTTTACATACCTCTCTTTTTCAGAGCTTCTTAGTCCAGTGCTGTTATTATTTAATAGATATATTGAATATAAACTTCTCAGTGGTATCGTGAGTAAAGATTAAAATGTGGTGTTTTAAAACTCATACTTAAGCAGATTAGTACATGCAAACATACACACACATGTGCATGCACACATGTACACAATTCTGCTTCTGGGAATGAGTTCTGGTTTAAATATTCATTTTTTTGGTATTCTCAAGTTATCTGTAGGCTATCAGAAATAAAAAGGCATTTATGAATAGAGGTACATATGTTTATTTGAATATTCTAATATTGAAGTTTGAGGAAATTAAATCTAAAATAAAATGAAAAGACACAACAGAAAACAATCTTGACACATAATGTATAATATTTAATCTTAATATACATAAAATCGGAGGAAATATATATTGCAACTTTATTGTGCAGGCTTTCCAGAAGTTAATTATAAAGTATGGCAGTTACACAGGGAAATATGAAAAAACAACGGTGCTTCTTCCATTCCATTAACTCAGTTCTGGAAAAGCCTTTACCTATAAGGACTGGATCCTATAAAGTGTGTTGGGCAGCATATTTTTGACTACATACATTGTGATAGTAAAAAAGTATTCACAGCTCAATTTATCAAGGTAAACTTTTTTCGAAAAAAGAAAAATTAAGGTGATTTTATTTTAAATTGAAGGACAATGTTATCCAAGTTTACAAAAATCTAATAAACAAAAGTCGAATTGGAAAGTAAAAAGAAAATTGGCAATTAGATAATAAGCAAGAAACTGAGTGATTATGAATCACAGAGAAAGTCGGCAGGTAAGAGGAAAATGAGGTAAAGCCCATAGTATGGATAGCTTTGGGGACCACGTGATGCCAAATCCAAATGTAAACCCCAACCAAAATGCCATTCTAAGGAAGTGGTGCGATTTAGAGGAAAGAATACAAGCTCTGGAATTGGAAAATCATGGTTTATACATCAACTCTGCCCTCAGTTCTTTGTATTCTGTATTTCTATCACTAACTTTCTTTTTAAGTTATTTAAACAATCTATTCCTCCATTTCCTTATCTAGAACATGGGGCAACAATAGTGCGGTTATGAGAATTATGTTAATTAATATTTGTGATACAATTAAAACATTGCTTTAATCTAGCTAGACATTTGGATATTAATTCAAACTACAGCACTGATGTAGCACATTAAAATTTTATATATCCATATCTGCATTGTGAAAAAGAAATAATTCTTGCTATCTAGTGTCAGACACATACAATTAAGCTATTTTAATTAAAATTCATTCAAACCATGGCATAGCAATCTAGGTAGTTTTCATTTATTACATAAAAATTGATGCTACCATGATTTTTAAAGCCAAATCATTTGGTTTTAATTCTTTTAAAAAATTAGTTATTAAAGGATCATCGATTACTTACCATACGTATAATGTTATGGACAGGTAGATAAAGTCAAAGGCTATCGTATTTCCTTCTTTCCATGTAAAGATAGGGGGCATTTTGAGAGACAAATATGAACTCTTTCAGATCATTGGGGCAATATTTAGAATATAGCACATGACTTTTAGCATACTAAATGATACCCTAGTGGCTTCGTCTATGGAAACAATTTAGAAAAAGAAATAACTTTCAAGTAGGGTTTTGTAGAAAAGTTACTTCACTGGTCATTTGAGAGATAGCCAGAAATGATTTTAAGGAAACAAATCATTAATTTAGGTGTTGTCCACTTAGATGTTTTGGTCAAACCTAGTATGTCTTTTGATAAATACTTATCAATAATTAACATTATATACTTATATTCATTTATTTTGGGAAATGTGTTAAATATATTGACATTAAGAACATAAATTATGATAAAATAGTTTATTAATGGAAGGTCAGAAAAAAAATCAAGTACAGAAAAGTCAGAAAACTGCCCCAAAAGACTGCATTGTTTTCAAACTTCTACACAGCAATTAATTTTGTAACCAAAAATAATTTATTTAAAGACAATCTCACCTTCAAATTTCCAAACGTTACTAAGGTAGACCAAAATTACTTGCTAAATTCTAATGATTAACCAACTGAAAAATAATTTAGCATAATATTTTTTAATTAAAAGAAATATTTGTAGCCAAGAGAAATATAAGGAACTAAAATAAGGATTTTATTATTTGTGCTTTTTATTTTACGATGTATTACTTCCAATTAAGGAACAAATAAGCAAGAGACAATAATCACTGCTATTGTCTTATCACGAAATTGAAGGGCATCTACAAATTGACTCTGACTGTTCTTCAGTTTTCTAATCTGCTCTGTGCTGGCTCATCAATCATAGGACCACAGACTTTTATAGATGAAAGAGACCAGAGAAATTGTCTCATACTTTTTTTTTTATCTCCCCTAGCAATTTCTGAAGGCAACATTAGCTTCCTCATATGTGCACTAACATGTTGAAACAGATGGTTGTGGACTGAATATGTGCTTTGGTATTGGTATTACTATAAGCAAATTATAAACAGATAGCTCACCTCAGTGGCCGTAGCTGAGATTTTCTAGCACTATAAAATATTCCAAGTTTACCCAGACCATAGGTTTAACATATTTCATTAAGTTTGATCAATTTTTATTAGATAAAGTCATTATTGGATTTCATTGATTGCCTACTATGTGCTAGACACCAAAGATCAAAAAAAAAGATAAATAGTACACAGCCCTAATGTTCAAGTAGAATATAATTGGATGGGGAATATAGATGCATAAGGAGATAAGGATAATACAACAGTGTGCAATGGTAAAGACATGCACAGGGGACCACAGCATTCATGACATCCTATGAGTACTTAACCATGTGTGGAGCCTGGCTCTAAGCTCGCTATATGTATTGATGAAGTCAGTCCTCTCCATAACCCCATGAGGTAGGTACTGTTTATACCCTCACTGTGTGGATAATGCTGAGAGGCAAAGATGTTAAGTGACTCGCCCAAGGTCACACTGAGTGAATGGCAGAGGCAGTATTCACACACAAGAAGTCTCACAAGAGCTTCTCAGGAAGGGCCACAGAACACCTAAACCAGCTGAAGTAAGCCTGTAAGTAGGAGGGGCAGGCCCATGGCATGGGGCAGAGCACTCATGGTAGAAAAGGCAGCTTGCAAGAATGTTGGCAGTGGAACCCAGCTGCGTGTGTGGTCAGAGGATAGCAAATTCAGTCTTGCTGAAGAGCAAGGTACAAAGCTGGGGAGCAGAGGCATGAGGGAGGCTAGTGTGGAGTGGGGGGCTTTGACGGCCATGCTAATGCATGTGCCCTTCCACCTAAAGGTCAGGATTTCCCAAATTGTGCTTCCTGGTTGGGCCTTAATACAACGGCTCCATAGTCACCTTAAGAAACTCAGCTGAACACATTTTATACAGAGTCCTTTTTACCAGGATTTTCCAGAGTCCTTAAAATACTAGCATGTATTGTAAATCTCTAAGAGAGAGATACAGCTTTCAGTGTTCCCCCATAGTTTTTGGATCACTGAATCTTTTAATTCCACGGCATTTCATGAGACTATTACTGTCTTTCAGAACCCACTGTGGGGCAGACACTGCAGGCAATGAGGACTCCTGCAGTCAACTGAGCATAGAAGGGAGATGATGAGACAAGCGCCTTTGTTGATCCTCTGGATTTTGTAGGGAATTTGGGTTTGAAAAAGCCAAAACGGGAGGTATAGGGACTACTAAGTGCTGTGTCTGTGCTATGCAAAATTGTCTTGAAGCACTTGTTCCTCTTTTCTTAAGGACATTTTTGCCTCTCCTATAACCTCCTCCATCCTTCCTCAAATTCTGTCTTTGATTATTTGTGACAGCTAAGTCATGAACAATATCTAGCACTATGTCTAGAATATGGAGAACTGAAGAATATTAATATGCAAGTATTGTGTTGGGCATTTAAGGCTCATGGTTATTTTTTGTTGTTGTTGTTTTTTAAGAGACAGGGACTTGCCATGTTGCCCAGGCTGGACTTGAACTCCTGGCTCAAGGGATCTTCTTGCCCAGGACTCAGCCTCTCAAGTAGCCATGAAAACCGGTTTGCACCACTGCCCAGCCTGGCTTTTTGTTTCTTTTTTTTGTGGGGTTTTATTGAGGCAAAATTTCACTCTGTTGCCCAGGCTGGAGTGCAGTGGCGTGATCTCCGCTCACTGCAACCTCCGCCTTCCAGACTCAAGCGATTCTCCTGCCTCAGGTTCCCGAGTAGCTGGGATTACAGGCTTGCGCCGCCATGCCCAGCTAATTTTCTTTATTTTTAATAGAGATAGTATTTTGCCATGTTGGCCAGGCTGATCTCAAACTCCTGACCTCAGACAATCTGCCCACCTCAGACCCTCAAAGTGCCTGGATATTTTTTTTTTAAATAAAGATTATTGAAGACCATATGTCTTCAAGAGTCAAAAGAATAAATTATAAAGGTAGAAAGTAGACAAAGGTGTTGATACCTTGGGAAAGTAGAAAGTAAGAAAGCAAGTAAGATAAGGTGCACAGCTAATTGCTCAGCTCCTGGATTCCCTTATTTTGGATAAACCTCATATGGATGAGAATCATAAAGGCTCAATTCCTTTACCTTTGTAAAATGTGGAATATCAGAGTTGTAGCAAATGTGGTAGGGCCAGTGACTTGGTTTTGATGGCAGATTTCTATAAGGCACAGGAGAAAGTAAAAAATAATAATAGAAGCTATATAACTGGATTAGAGCTAGAAAAACATATTTTTATACCCTATGAATATTAACATTAATTATAAAATACAGTAGCCATTCAAATTTTCACTTGGTTCTTAAAAGTAAAAACAGCAAATAACCAGGAGAAATTTTTGTATCTCTGAAAGCAATGGAAGTTTATTAGCAAATATATACTAGGACAAGAAACTCCAAAATTTTTAATATGATTAAGACTCCTGGGGCCCACATTTACACTAGCATAGGTGTTGTATACTCTTAAACATAGTACAGATAAAGCATATTGAAAATAAGAATTGAGAAATTGAGTTTTCCTACATTTAATTCTAAAATCTTTTTTTTTTTTAATTTCAAGGAAAGCTTAACATTTCCTGAAAGAAAAGTAATACGCCTATGCATTTTTACTGAAGCAGGTAGCTTTATTCCAACAGTTTGGAACTACAACCCAGAAAGATTTTCTTCCACTGTCAGTTTTGGCTTTAGGCATTTCAAAGTTAATAGACCGGGTCAAGTGAAGGGCATATTTGCAGCCTGTATTGGATAAAAGTGAACATAAATATGCTGCTACCAAATGACTATGAGGAAACATTTATAAGGAGATGAAAATTAAAAAACAAAATCCTGGGACAATAAAGTAATTGGATTGAATTTCAGCAAATAGACACTGCCTCTTACTTGTAGTCCATAACAGGTTTTATTTTATTTTTATTTTATGTTATTTGAATTTATTCTTGGACTAACTACCTGCCATGCTCGCTTTGCTTCGTGGCTCTCAGCAGTAGCGTTCAAGCAAGGACACTCCAGTTATGAGAGGCCTCCCCAATGGCTGATATTAATTTGTCTATGAGAGCATAAATGCTTCTGGTAGATATTATCAGGAAACAATTATTTTGACAACTTTTTTTAAATTGCTAACTAGTGGGAAATTTTTTATTTTTGCTCTTAATGCATTTGAGGCCATTGTATATTTCAATAACCTCAGTATTATCTGACCAGAAGATGCAATGAACGATAACATCTGATGTTAACCTACATATGACTTTTTACCACGTCATTTAATCTGATAATTTTGTAAGGTATTAAAAATTAAAAGCACATTTTATATGTGAGAACCTTCATTATTCAAGGGTTTCTCTTTGTCCAAATAAAAGTAATCATGAAGTGTCACACGCGTCCGTGTGAAGAGAGCACCAAACAGGCTTTGTGTGAGCAACAAGGCTGTTTATTTCACCTGGGTGCAGTGGGCTGAGTCCAAAAAGAGAGTCTGCGAAGGGAGATAGGGGTGGGGCCATTTTATAGGATTTGGGTGGGTAGTGGAAAATTACAGTCAAAGGGAGTTGTTCTCTGGTGGACAGGGATGGGGGTCACAGGGTGCTCAGTGGGGGAGCTTTTGAGCCAGGATGAGCCAGGAGAAGGAATTTCACAAGGTAATGTCATCAGTTAAGGCAGGAACTGACCATTTTCACTTCTTTTGTGATTCTTCAGTTACTTCAGGCCATCTGGATGTATACGTGCAGGCTTGAGCTCAGAGGCCTGACATAAAGTATGCAGAGAGCTATGAGATTCTGTTTTCTAAGTTTTCTGGAAGAAATCTACCAAGTCATTTTTTAATAGTGTACGGTTTTGTTAATTTTACTTGCATATTCTCCAATTGAGTTATTCAATGCCACTTCTCTGAAGCTCAAATAATGGTAATTATAATGGAATGACACTACTATCTGCTATTTCAATAGATATCTCTTGCTTGGGCCACGTGATTCAGATAGGCAGAGAACAAAGCCTCATTGCATCATTCTTAAACACATGATGAGTAATAAAGGCTACCTCACTCACGGCTTGCTCTCGAATTAACCTCAATCCAAGGATCTGCAGGAATATAGGGTCTTCCAAACTTCATATTCTGACCAAATTCTGCAACGTAATATCCTCTCACTGCTGTGCTAGAAGAAAAGCAAAAATAATTAAGAAGCCACCACCCTCACTTCCCCAGTCTCCCCAACCTGATCATCCTGCCCCATGTACCCAGAAATTAAATGCAAAACTAAAATACTAACTCTGGAAGTCTTGGTTTGGATTTCAGGTTTCACCTCTGAGGTATGTATCCAGAACCAAATTCCTCAGCAATTCCCCATGAAGCTTAGGGAGTCGTTATTGAGGTGTTCTAGACCAGCAGTACAAGCCCGGCATAAAAGAAGATCCTGAGGAAATGTGAAGCTGTGTTGTTATCACTAACTGCAGACCTTGCATTAGGGCCTAGAGTTATAGACAAATGTTTACAGAAGTGTCTTTAAGTTCGCCTGCTTTACTTGCGTATTTCACCCCTCATGGAAATTATAATGCAATAAAAGCATATTTCCAACTGGCAAAAATACTTTCCAGGAAATTCATCTTGTTTTTACTCTTTATCACTTCTTGTATACAAATTAGAACATCTTGCACAAGACCTGTGTCTTGCTCAAGCATTTTATATCTTGAAAAGCTCAAAATTATATCTTTGGTTTGAAATCTGAACATATCTATAGCATAGAATACCCACTCCCTTTATAGATTGCTGGCAGGATTTGCTTTTCACTTTGGGGAGAAATCTATTCTTTGTAGAATATTCCCACACATGTCTGTGTCTATTTCTCAGAGCGGTGCCACAAAAGATATGACCCTTTTGCTCCCAGTAACCTTTCATGGTGCTGAATCGCCTTGGACGTTGGTGCCAGTCAGCACGATTTGATTTGCTATGGTAAGAATAAGATTATATGTAACAGACGATGTCATTTCCAGGTTCAATAGGCACAGATTTAAAACTAGTCCTCTCTTTGACCCTCCGGATTCTCTTGAACTCTTGCACCTTCTTTGACAGTGTTTGTGAATGAGCGAATTCATGAAAATTCAAGGTTATTTTAATGATAATAGCACTGCGATGACAAAGGAAGAAGGAAGGGCCCTCTCCTCAGCCCAGAGCTCCTTCCCCTGAGCCGACTTCCTTCCTGGCAGACCAACTGCAGAGTGAATTCCTGTTGATGGTCAAAGGCTGAGAGCAGTTGTGTGTCTGCAACCGTGCTGCTGCTACTGATCTGTGAACATGACATGCCTGAGAATATCGCATCACCATGGCAACAACAAACATGGGGCTAAATTCCATTAGCTGCAGTGACTCAGTGAGTCAAATAGATAATGTGCTGGGCCTGGCCAACTGCCTACAAAAGCCTATGTGAAAGTTGTGATGAATTAACTTCAGCTTGTTATGGCTGCTTTAGTATAAATTCTCTTTTTTGTTACTTAAGTCCTTATATTTATGGCATTTGTTAAATAAGCACTTAAAAACCCATTAGCTAGTCCCCTTCCAGTAACGTACATTTGGGACTACTTTCTGCTATTTAAAATGCCCTTGATTCTCACATCTTTTTTATTTCTTGCATTTCTCTAGATTCTTTTTCTAATCTTTTTTTTGTTTTGTTTTTCTTTTAAATTAGTGACAGGGAGTTAAAAAATTTACATTGCACTTAACTTCAAATGATTTTATTTGAAACATATAGAATGAGTTTAAAGCTGACAACATTCTTCACCGAGATCAGCAATATCAAGATTTCTTAAGGAGAGAGCTCCAGGTCAAAAGGAGGAAAAAAAAAATAAGTTCTTTGATATACTCAGTGCAATTGAGGGAACATCAGTTCTAAATAAGATTAAAGAATGTAGACATTTTCAGAATTACTTTGAATGTATGAAGTTAATAGCTTTAAATTATATGACCTATCTACCTTCTAATATCATAAATTCAAAAGGGTTATAATCTTCTTCAAAGAAAAATCTGATTGATACAGTAAATAACTTACCTTCTTTTATACAACTAGTTAGTGTCAGGGTCAAGAAATAAAGAATTTTAGTATAACTTATAAGAATACGCCAGCTTAGCCTTTTTTATACCATGCGAGGTGCCTCCTCGGCTTCACCCCCGCTTCAGTAGGTACAACATACATGCTCTTGTGAGCTTCCTCCATAACATAATCATGTAAAATTTGCCCATGTGCTGGATAAGAGATGATGATGGGTATGTGGATTATTACCGACCAGATGAGAACTCAAGATATTCAGTTCCTGCCACAAAAGAAAGAATAATGCAGGCAATGAACCATAAGGAGTATCTCCTTTAATAATTTAGACAAGAAGAATAAGCTCAGCCTACTAGTTAGGTTTTCCTCATTATGCCCATAACCCACCTCATAATAGTGCATAAGAATACTAAACATGAGAATTTTTCATAACTGTCAACACATATATTACTGTTTTTCTCCAGGAAACTTTTAATGAACAAAATGAAATCAAACACACACACACACACACACACACACACACACTTTATTTCTTATAGCCAAAGATACATTTTTTATGTTTGCTTGTTCTTTTTCCCAACAAAGCCATAGAGATAATAATTGGAGATACTATGAAATCTCATATGTTTTAAAATACTCCCTTTACCCCAGATCATTCCATCTTCCTTTTAAGCATATAGTGTTCTATATATAGTGTGCATATTGTGTATTTGCCCTGGAGCAAGTGTAAATTATGGAGAGAAGTCTACTCAAGAACCCTGAGTAGTTGTCCTGAACTACAAGGACTCTGTTGGGAGCAGTGAGTATGAAAGGGCAGGGCTTAGATCCTGCAGGGTCTGATTTGTAAGGGGCTGAGGGTCTCAGGCTGGGGAAGTCCTTTGCACAGGACAGGGATGTGATGAAGGTGATGCTTGAAGACAATCTAGACTCAAGAGCACAAAAGATCAACTGAGTACTTTTAATAGTCCAGTCATGAAGTGCTAAGGTTTGAGGTACTGACTGGTGCAAGAGAAATTGGGAAGTAAATAGTTTTATGTTATTGTTGTTAGGTTTGTAACTTTGATGGACCTTTTTCTCATGGAAGCTAATCATGATTTTCTCTATCTATCTGAAGTATTGGAATATAACCATTCTACCAGGGAAGCCCACATGCTTGAATATACCAGGACATATACTTAGGAAAAGTCTACCTTTATCAGACAAACAGTAAAAATTCTTTATTCCTCTTGTCCTCCCGCTAGTTATTTTAAAGCATTCAACTCAATGCTTAATGCTTTAAAACCCAGTGGTGTTTTTTAGCCAGGCGTGGTGGCGGGCACCTATAGTCCCAGCTACTCGGGAGGCTGAGGCAGGACTGTGAACCCGGGAGGCAGAGCTTGCAGTGAGCCCAGATCGCGCCACTGCTCTCCAGCCTGGGCGACAGAGCGAAACTCCGTCTCAAAAAAAAAAAAAAACAAAACAAAAAAACACAATGGTGTTTTCTTCTCTTTCTCTAAAAAACAGACAGGAGGTATTTAGAAATTTGGAAATAACTCGTCTTTTTTTTAGAGAAAGAGAAGAAAATGCCACTGACTCCTTTTCTGTTTCAAAAGCTCCCTCCACGTATAAGCTTGCAAAAATTATGAAAAAGGTATGAACTGTTTCTTAAATAGTAAAATTAGTATCTTCAACCAATTAGAGGAAGCCAACCTAAGCCAATTAATAGTTCTAATATGAAATTGAATTAAAGTAGTAGTATTTTCAAGTTATTTGCACTATCCTAAAATAGGGCAACATTTTTTTTTCCTAAAGAAATTGTTGGCCGGGCGCGGTGGCTCACGCCTGTAATCCCAGCACTTTGGGAGGCCGAGGCAGGCTGATCACGAGGTCAGGAGATCAAGACCATCCTGGCTAACACGGTGAAACCCCGTCTCTACTAAAAATACAAAAAAATTAGGCGGGCATGGTGGCAGGCACCTGTAGTCCCAGCTGCTCGGGAGGCTGAGTCAGGAGAATGGCGTGAACCCGGGAGGCGGAGCTTGCAGCGAGCCGAGATCGTGCCACTGCACTCCAGCCTGGGTGACAGAGCGAGACTCCCTCTCAAAAAAAAAAAAGAAAAGAAAAAAAAAGAAATTGCTACAGAATGCTAGGTAATAAATGGTTAAAAGTTATTTGCAATTTGCATATATGGTTAAAACTTATTTGCAATTTGCATATACTTTTTAAAAATGAGAATGAGTGCAAAGTGCTTTAGGATATTTGGAAATGGTTTGTTCCTTTAAGTATTTCAAGTATTCCCTTTCCTTGTACTCTCATTTATAAAGAGTTAGAAGGTAAACCTCAGCTCACATCTCTTTCCTACATAATTCAAATGCTAAAATATATATTTTTTGAATTACTGAGACTTTTCCATGCTCAAAAGAATCGATACTCATTAAATACAAAAGCCTTTGTTTATAACCTAAGATCAATTGTACATTTCCCATTGTCTTGAGTCCTAAGATCCTGCTGTCTAGGTGCTGTTTTCAGGCAAGTCCCTGGGTGACTGAGGCAAATCCTTTTCAATATAGTGTCTTTAATAAGTTGTGAGCCCCAGCCTTTCAATTCCTTTTGTTGGAGTTTTAGAGGTGAGCAAGGTGAACTTCTTGCCAACTCCAATTTGTTCCTTGTCTCTATGTGCATACATGCCTCAGATCAGCATTGCAATAACTCTAATGGGTCAAAATGCAAGACGCCTATGCCCTATGTCACTGTACAGCAGTTGTGTTTTTAGCTTTTCCTCAACTCTCTTATGTGCTCCTGTTACTTTTTATTATTGCCATCCTCTTTGACATATCCGAGGCTGCCCTCTCATCAGTCTCAAAGTCAACACATACACCAGGTGACAGTATTATCCGTAAGTTCGGCATCAGCGCCCCTCCACCATTGTGTCAGCATCTGACCCTGCACCGGTTCACGGAGCTATTGTAAATTCAAATTCATTTATTTCATGCTGGGATTTTACTGATATTTAGAGGGAAAATGATCTGCTTGAGGTAAAGTGGAGAAGCAGACATCTTTTCATTTTTTGTGAATTGGATGAACTAGAGAGGAAACTAGAGGGAGAAGTCCTTGTTCTTTAAAGGTCTATGTATAATCTTTCTGATTTCTAATTTGGCTTCTTCTAAACCATCAGGGAACATCTCTTCCCAGGAGCTGTTTTTCTCTTTATTTCACATACAGCTTAGAATGGCTAGATCAGGTTGTCCTTTAGGACTATCAAAAAGTAGTTTATAAAATATAAGATCCGAGTCCTAAAAATCCTATGGCACAAAGCCTCTGAATGGATTGACCACTTCCTCCTATTTTTTTCAGCCAGTGTCTTAGACTAAAACTGTGATGTTCTTAATGCCATGAGATTATCCATCACGAAAGTGACCTTCTTCTGTTTGAGTAACTCAAAAGCCTCTTTTGAATGTTCTTCAAATACAATAACAAGAAGTCCACAAACTATTGACATCCCATTACAGATGACTTTTACTTGGCCATGAGGACTCTTGCCCTTCTAGAAGACACATTATGAAACAACTCTGTCCCCTACAGCCCTATTGTTCTGTGCCACAGCTCACCTCCTTGCTACGTTTCACTTGTTTCCAGGCCAGCCTGGATGGGTTTTCAATAGTATCATCGAAAGAGAAGGAAGGAGAGGTTCATTGCTTTGCATTGTCCTGCCCTTGAGTAGAAATGCCTGCCTCATCAGCTGCATCCACAGTATGGATTCTGTCTACTCCTCCATTTCTTTGTAAAACAATATTTATTGATAGCCTGTTTCTTAGTCTGTTCAGGCTGCTGAGACAAAATACCATAGAGCCAATGGTTTATAAACCACAGAAATTTTTTTATCTCAGTTCTGGAGGCTGTAAAGTCCAAGATCAAGGCACTGGCAGATTCACTGCGTGGTGAGGGCCCACTTTCTGGTTTATAGGTGGTGCCTTCTTGTTGTGTCCTCTCAGGTAGAAGGGGTGAGAGGGCTCTGTAGGATATCTTTTATGAGTGCACTAATCCCATTCCTGAGTTCAGTTTTCATGAGCTAATTATTTCCCAAAGGCCCCACTTCCTAATACATTACCTCAGGGGGGTGAAGATTTCAACATATGAATTCCTGGGGGACAAAAACATTCAGTCTATACCAACTTCTTCTGTGCATGTTACTAAGTAATTTTACAATGGAGTTTCTATATCCTCGGTACTAAATATAGTATTTACCTGAGAAAGTCACATTCCCAAAAGTCAAAAAGTCAAAGAGAGCAAAGTGAACATTCTCGAGATCAAAAATGGAAATCAGCTGTAGAAAAAGTTGCTCATAAAGCTTAGACCATCTCTGTCAAGGACTGATTCAAGTTTTCAGAAAAAACTTTTAAAAAGATTTTTCTGAGAATAAATTTTTGTTTCTTGATTTATATTGAACATATTATTTTCTTTATCTGGAACATATTTTCCAAGTATTTAAATCAGTCTTTTTATTTTTTATTTTATTTTATTTACGTTAATGAGCACTTACTAACCCCAGACCCTGAGAACAGAAGTATAAAAATCAAAGGACTTTGGCCCAGGAAGCACATTCTCTAAGGGAGGAGACAAATGAGAACAAGATGCAAATCACTGCAATTCAGCAAGGCAAGTGTCATGGCAGCACCAGGGACAAAGTGACCAAGAATGCAGTGACAAGGGTGGGACAGAGCAACCACACAGGCAAATGCTCAAGATGATCCGTGCTCTGGCACAGTGGGGAGCCAGGGCTGGCCAGAAAAAGAGTGTATAAGCCAGGAATGGCTGAAGTGAGGCAGAAGCCTGCTGAGAAAGTGTTACTTTATCCTGAAAGACCTTGAGCATGAGAGAAACAAGATCAAATTTGAATTTAAAAAGGGCACTGTGGCAGAAGTATGCAAGAGAAACTGGAGCAAGGAGAGAGGAAAGATAGAAAGAGGAAGAGAGAGATAATGAGAGCATGAACTTGGAGAGTGGTGCTTCAGAGCACCTTCTGAAATTGGCATTTTGCCCTCTTTAATCAAATCAATCTCTCTCTGTCCACACACCCAAGACATGCATACACACATTTGCATAATGTTTTACTTCTAACCAGTCATCTCTGTAAACAAAATCTTATACTACTTCATTACTTGGGAATACAGTTTGGTTCATAAATATATTTTATAAGATACATTTTCTAATATTATACCTAATTATGTATATTTATGTCTAAAACTGTGTTTGGAGAGTTTAGTGTCATTATTATAATTAAACAAATAATAATTCAGCATTTGATGAAATAATTTCATAATATTTAAATTCAGAAACAAACTCAGGAATACAAAGGAGCAGAAGGGAAATTAAAAATTAGTAAGATAAATCATTACCCCTGTTTGGAAACTAAGTTTGTCATGAGTGGGAAATACAGGCTTATGTCATTTTTACTCATGGGGCTTGAGAGGGGCTTCTCCTTGAGAGGCCAGAAAATGGAGAAAGTGCCCACAGGCTTAAATATCCTGGGATGGCCTGAGCTTCCTCAGCATAGACGCATGGCACTGCCTTCACACCTGCCTTGAGTCACACACGCCATTGCTTCATCATCACACTGTCTTCGCCACCTGCCACATCTCACCAAAGCAGTGAGAGCCCCCAGTTCAAGAGTGCTGACCTGGGGAGGGAATCAAGCCAAGGGTTGTCTAAAACACCTCCTTCAGGGATCAAAATTATGACTCTATATGTCAGCTACTACCAAATCATGGTGGCTCGCATGTTGATCATGCAAGGAGAGAGACCTATAATGCTTTTTGACCACATTATGGTTTTGGGATTAAGTCAATCATAGGATGTGCACACAGGGAAAGTGTTGTAATTGTGCAGTCAAATTTCCACTGTGTTGAATACAGGTCACACAGTTATCAGAGCATTGTGTTCGACATGCAGTCTCCTGAGTGATGCAAAATAGAAGGTGAAGTAATTTACAGGAAAGAATATCGAAGTGGTCCAAACTATAAATCTCATCAAGGATATTGAGTTGCGCATACTGGATAAAGGAAAGCTATGCAATCATGTAAATTTCCAAAAATGTAATATAAGTTCTTAAATAAAAGTGAACCTAAATACACTCTTACACTCACCCAATCAGCTACATTCTATTAGACATATGTGCTTCTTCGGATAATTGCCTTTTATAATAATAGAGGACTAAGCACATAGTTACCTGGAAAGTATTTTAGAAGCGAGCTAGATAATATCTAGAAAATTGGGTTTTGTTTGTTTGTTGTTTTTGTTTTGCTCTTGTCGCCGAGGCTGAAGTGCAGTGGCACAATCTCGGCTCACCGCAAACCCTATCTCCCGGGTTCAAGCGATTCTCCTGCCTCAGCCTCTGGAGTAGCTGTAATTACAGGAATGTGCCACCACTCCCAGCTAATTTTTGTATTTTTAGTAGAGACGGGGTTTCTCCATGTCGGTCAGGCTGGTCTCGAACTCCCGACCTCAGGCGATCAGCCTGTGTTGGGATTGAAGGCCCCCCAAACTGTTGGGATTGAAGGTGTGGTTATGTGGGATTCTGTCATCAAGCTAATTTACTTTTTCCATTTATGCTTCTCACATTTTAAAATGTACTTGCCTTAATAATAAATGTTGCACAAGTAACCTGCTGCTTTTCTTTTTGTTGTTTTTTTCTTTTATTATACTTAAAGTTCTGGGATACATGTGCAGAACATGCAGGTTTGTTACATAGGTATACACATGCCATGGTGGTTTGCTGCACCCATCAACCTATATTAGGTATTTCTCCTAATGCTATCCCTTGCCTAGCGCACTGACAGGCCCTGGTGTGTGATGTT
Source organism: Homo sapiens (assembly GCF_000001405.40). Classification (NCBI taxonomy): domain Eukaryota; kingdom Metazoa; phylum Chordata; class Mammalia; order Primates; family Hominidae; genus Homo; species Homo sapiens. Next base: position 103,394,255 of record NC_000002.12, on the reverse strand, counting down.
CCCCTACATGTGTCCATGTGTTCTCATTGTTCAACTCCCACTTACGAGTGAGAACATGTGGCGTTTGGTTTTCTGTTCTTTTGTTAGTTTGCTGAGAATGATGGCTTCCAGCTTCATCCATGTCGCTGCAAAGGACATGAACGTGTTATTTTTTATGGCTGCATAGTATTCCATGGTGTACATGTGCCACATTTTCTTTATCCAGTCTATTATTGAAGGGCATTTGGGTTGGTTCCAAGTCTTTGCTATTGTGAACAGTGCTGCAATAAACATACGTGTGCACGTTTCTTTATAATAGAATGATTTATAATCCTTTGGGTATATACGCAGTAATAAGATTGCTGGGTCAAATAGTATTTCTGGTTCTAGACCCTTGAGGAATCGCCACACTGTCTTCCACATAGTTGAACTAATTTATACTCCCTCCAACAGTATAAAAGTGTTCCTATTGCTCCACATTCTCCCCAGCATCTGTTATTTCCTGACTTTTTAATGATTGCCATTCTAACTGGCATGTGATGGTATCTAATTAAACTAAAAAGCTTCTGCACAGCAAAAGAAACTATCATCAGAGTGAACAGACAACCTACAGAATGGGAAGAAAATTTTTGCAATCTATCCATCTGACAAAGGGCTAATATCCAGAATCTACAAGGAACTTAAACAAATTTACAAGAAAAAAAAAACCCGATCAAAAAGTGGGCAAAGGATATGAACAGACACTTCTCAAAAGAAGACATTTATGTGGCCAAGAAACATATGAAAAAAAGCTCATCATCACTGGTCATTAGAGAAATGCAAATCAAAATCACAGCGAGCTGCTTTGCTTTTCTACCTTTTATCACTGAACATGACATTTAGGTTTCCAACATAATTAAAAATGATAAAAGTTTTTCTGAATATGATATTTTGTATATTTTGTAGCTAATAAAACGATTCTTTTCTTGACTGTACAGATTTTCATTCCCTTTCTTAATACTTTCTTATTCATCTCAAATGAGAAACACTTTCATAGAAAAAAAATCACATGATTGTGTTTATGTAGGGTGGTGAAAAAAAGCTTTATTTTATTGAATTCTAAAGTTCATGTTAAAAATTTCTTATAAATGTCATTAAGATCTTAACTTTGCCTTGACATGTAACTTGGAAAACAGTCTCATATATAGCAGATATAAATGAAACAGTATATATATATATTTATATATATATTTATATATTTATATATATTTATATATATATTTATATATTTATATATATTTATATTTATATATATATTTATATATTTATATATATTTATATATATTTATATATATTTATATATATTTATATATTTATATATATTTATATATATTTATATATATTTATATATTTATATATATTTATATATATTTATATATTTATATATATTTATATATATTTATATATTTATATATATATTTATATATTTATATATTTATATATATATTTATATATTTATATATATTTATATATATATTTATATATTTATATATATTTATATATATTTATATATTTATATATATTTATATATATATTTATATATTTATATATATTTATATATTTATATATATTTATATATATATTTATATATTTATATATATTTATATATATATTTATATATTTATATATATATTTATATATCTATTTTTATATATTTATATATTTATATATATATTTATATATTTATATATATATTTATATATCTATTTATATATATTTATATATATTTATGTATATATATTTATATATATTTATGTATATATCTTTATATATTTATGTATATATATTTATACATATATATTTATGTATATATATTCATACATATATTTATGTGTATATATATTTATACATATATATTTATGTATATATGTTTATATATGTATGTATATATATTTATATATGTGTATATATATTTATATATTTTTTTATATATTTATATATATTTTTGTATATATTTATATATATTTATGTATATATTTATATATATTTTTATATATATTTATGCATATATATATTTATGCATATATATTTATGTCTATATTTATATATATATATTTATGTCTATATTTATATATATATATTTATGTATATATTTATATATATTTTTTAGATGGAGTCTTGCTCCGTTGTCCAGGCTGGAGTGCAATGGTGCGATCTGGCTCATTGCAAGCTCCACCTCCCGGGTTCACGCCATTCTCCTGCCTCAGCCTCCCGAGTAGCTGGGACTACAGGCACCCGCCACCACGCCTGGCTAATTTTTTGTATTTTTAGTAGAGATGGGGATTCACCATGTTAGCCAGGATGGTCTTGATGTCTTGACCTCGTGATCCGCTCACCTTAGCCTCCCAAAGTGCTGGGATTACAGGAGTGAGCCACTGTGCCCGGCCATGAAGCAGTATATTTTATACCTGCAAATTATTTCAGCCTCCATATTAAAAAATGATACAATGACGGTGATTACTAAGCTATGTGTTTTCTACAAAAAATTGAGGAAATTTTGAGTTTCGGTAAATATATGTCCACATCTCATTATTAAATTATGCTAAACAAATTACTAATAAATATGGAGAAATATCTTACAGAAATGAAGACAAATTTAAAAATTATATGCTGTCATTTTTAATGATTATGTAAAATAAATTAATTTTAGACATTTATTGTCTGTATAAATAATTATGTTGCTGATTAAATAGACAAATATAAATTATAATGCAGACTGTAGAATTTGTAATTTCTTTTAAAAATAAGCAAAATGAAAAATGTCAAGATATCACATACATTAAAACAAAATTTTTTAAATTTTTTTTTGCACAAAATTGTTACAAACTTTTAACAACAGAAATATTTTAATTACAAATATAAGTTAAGGTGTTTTTCAAGTTAAATATTTAATAAAATAATTAAGCCATATTATATTGCAAATCCTTAAAAACTCTTATAGTTTTCATCTTTATTAAATAATTTATTGATTATAATTATGCAAACTTTGACAAACATTAAGAACTCTAATTTGTTTTATAATCTTTTAACTGTAAGTTTATTAATATGTTGTATTTATTCTCATCTGGATATCTGGAAATTTTATATCCACAAATTACTTCAGCCTTTATATTTGAGAAAAATGATACAATGACAGTAATCGCTAAGCTATCTGTTTTCTACATAGCAGTGTGGAAATTTGGAGTTTGCGTAACTATATGGCTGTGTAAATAAAATATTAACAATAATATTTTTAATTACTATATTAAAATCCTCCCATTTAACCTAATCCGTGGTTATTTCTTTCTCCAATGGATACCTCTTGTTTATTGTATTTATAGCTAAAAAGGCTGGAATTTATTTAAGGAAAGGGAATTTATTTGGTAAGTGTGTTTATATATGTGTAGCTTTATGACACACACACACACGCAACATAAACTGGGCTCTTAAAGTTTGCTTCCTATTTTTTCATCATCTGTGTTTTTCTATCATTCTAAGTTACTGTTTCTAATTTAACCCTGAATGGGCAATCTAATTCAGTCATTAGACGTCAAAAATTTTGGCTCAATTATACTTTATAACATGGTTTTAACTAGAAGAGACTTTCATATCATCTTTCTGTTAAAATATCAGTGGAAAGAAACTTTCATTTCTATATCCTTAATAATAAGAGCAGAGGAAGAAGAGACAAATTTGTAGCAAACATGTTCTATGCACTTTAATTTATCAAATACATATTGAACATAAAATATGAACAGAATTTTTTAATGATGACAGAAACACAGTGGTAAAAAACAAAATCATAGGCAATTTAAGATCCTATGGGGAGACTGACGATCAAACAGGAGAGTGTATTGCAGTTCAACAAACAATCATGACAGACAAAAGCTGGGTGTTGCCAAGTTTCACAGAACAGGCACCTAATCTAGAACAGCGGGATTTTGAAGGGCGTCTTGAAGGTGGTGACCTTTAAGGTAGGACCAGATGAACTAGAAGTAGCCAAATGTAGAGAGGCAGAGGGAACTATGAGAGACATTAGAAAATGCACAGGCCTAAAATGAAGTGTGCCCTTTTAGGGAGTGGTAGAAATTTGATTTAACTGCTTTTTTAATCTATTCTGATTTTCCAGAAAGAAACCAAAATAAACAAACAACAAAAATAGCCTACATCAATATCTGTAGAGAACAGTTTAGGAAACACCTGGATAGCTACCTAAGGCCTCATGAACAGATTGTCTCTGTGCTCTCTTCTTAAGAAAGCTGTTTTCTTGGAGATTAAAATCTAGGCTTTCACCTTAGATATCAGGCCTAGAGGAAGTCCATTCTTTAGGCCTTGCCATTACTCCATTCCACACCCTGCACTTTTCCCACCAGGGCTACACCCCCAAACCCCCAGAGAGAGATTCTCTGGGCCCTAGGCTTTTGGAGAGTGGTGAGAACTCTAAGGTCTGCCATGGGCACTTGCCCAGTAGAAAAACAGCAGCTTCCATATGGAAATTGAGCAACATAGGAAGGGGCGAGAGGCCCTTCTGCAGAAGCAATTTCACGGAGGGGAAAAAGAAGGTTGAGACTGCTCGGTTTAAAAATGGATATTCTGCTGTGTGCAGTGGCTCACACATGTAATCCTAGCACATTGGGAGGCCAAGACAGGAGGATCACTTGAGCCCAGGAGTTCAAGACTAGCCTGGGAAAGAGAGTGAGCCCCGGTCTTCACACAAAAATACAAAAATTAGCCAGGCATGGTAGTACCTGCCTGTAGTCCCAGCTACTCAGGAGGCAGAGGTGGGAGGATCACTTGAGCCCAGGATGTCGAGGCTGCGGTGAGCTGTGATAGTGCCACCACATTCTGGCCTGGGTGACAGAGAAAGAACCTGTCTCAGAATAAATAAATAATGAAATATAGAAAAATTAAAATGGGTGTTTTGGCAAGGGGTGGGGCAAAGACTGCTCATTTTTGCTGGTGGACAGGGCAGACCCCATTTGTGCCCTCTGAAGTGTGAAGCCAGGGCTCTGGGAAGAAGATTTTCCACAACTAAAGAGCTGAACAGAGTCCTGCAGTGGGCAGAGACGGTCAGTCATACATTAAAGAGGAATTAAATAAAAAGAGAAAAGAAAGGAAAGAGGCCTCTTTCGCGAAGTTTCTGGTTAAAGAGCATAAACATCATGGGCGTTCATGAGGATACCACATCCTCATTTTGGAGTTTTTCTGGTGAAGAATGAAAGCAAGGAGAGGTACCAGGACAGACTTCTCCATTGATGAGAGTTGACTGAAAACTGTTCGACAGGATCATGTCTGTGTAATTTGCTCTTTTGCCGTGCCCGTCATGGGGCCCTGAACAGAAAGACGCCACTACATATGGCTTGATGATTGTGCAAATGATTAGCTTTTACATATCACAAAGGTGTGAGGATATAAAATTCCACTGAGACTTTCAATTGGGAATTTTCATCTTTATTAGATGTAGAAATAGCTCCATGATTTAAAAAAAAAATGTGTGAAACATTAGAAATGAGGTCACTTTGATTCTAGATTATAGCTTACTACTTGTTACAGAGAGAAACACATTTTTTTCATCATTTATATCTGTTCTTCGTGGGGGGGCTGAAGAAGCTGCCAGGCCTGGAGATGACAAGTTTCTGAAGATTTAGATGGAAGTAAAGGTAGACAAAGATCCCAGCTGCTGGGCCCATTCTCTCAAGTACTAACTGTGAACCATGCTTCTATACTGAAAATTGAGGGCATGGCCAGTTAAACTAAACTGAATTATTCTATGCTAAATGCTGTGTTAGGGAACTGCTCTCACCCAGGGCAAGAAAGGCAGGTGAGGTGAAATGAGAAGGGCACAGAGATTGAGAGAGTTTTCTTAGCAGAGAGCCAGACATATGGGATGTTCCAGACATGTGAATTAGACTGTGGCCACAGTCACGTATGTGAAGGAGAAGATGACAATGAGCTGGAGAAGCAGGCAGGGGCTACTTTGTAGAGGGTTCTTTGTGCTGTGCTCAGCGTTAAGCTCTTCATCCTGCACACAACCAGGAGCTACGGAAAGAGTTCTCCTTAGCCACTGAAAATGGCAGTCAGCCGTTTCATTACACAATCTTCCCTCGCAGTAATCTCAAATCTATGTCTGCTTACATATCCAATGTGTGGGCGTTGAAATTGATTTTATTTCTCCCATGCACCAATGGCTACAACATTGCACAATATTAAACAACTAGGTATACCATTTAACACACTAGGTGATATTGATTGAGTTTGAAGTACAAGACAAAAAAAAATATGAATTCCATTCACCAACCAGGAACAACATGGTTAAAGAAAGCAATGTTATTTCTATAAAGTATCTGATTATTTAAAAGTCTGTAGTAAATATACATTATTTTCATGAAAAAAATCTTAAGGAAAGGATATGCTAAAATTCTGAGAACTAATTTGTTAAATAAGACTAAATTTGCAATGAAAATATTTTCAAAATTTAAGACAAATAAGCAAATTCTAATCTGTAAGTGATCTCTTACAAAGATTTTTGATAATGTGCTAAAAAGAATGTACTAAAATGTTGGGTCTTAGGTTGGTGTTCATTTGTGATATTTTCAGTTCGTCAGAGTGAATCACGTTTATGCTACCATTTGAGTAGTCTTATATGTAAGCTCATAAGACTTTCTGAGCATTATTTTTTCTTTTTCTTTTTTTTTGAGGTGGAGTTTCGCTCTTGTAGCCCAGGCTGGAGTGCACTGGCATGATCTCGGCTCACCACAGCCTCTGCCTCCTGAGTTCAAGCACTTCTCCTGCCTCATTATTTAAAAAATAAAAATAAAGTGGTAAGCTAGTTCTAAGCAGACATTTATGGGGGAATTTCTTTTGGTTAACCCTATTCTTCCAATTGTTTAATAAAGCAACACTTTATGTTGCTTTGTTGTAATGGCAACTTTAGTTTGTTGTAATGGCATTTTATGTTGTAATGGCAACACTTACAGAATATCAAAGAACCATAATCTTCATATGTAATAGAATACACGAATCATTATATTCTTATTTAGATTAATCTTATTTATATCTAGATTTGCTTATACAGGCATGCAATTGCTAACACTGGGGACACCTTAGGATAAATATGTCATTATGTGAATACCATAGAGTATATTTACACAAATCTAGGTGGTATGGCCTTAAACACACCTAACCTGTTGCTCCTGGGCTACAAACCTGTACAACATGTTTTTGTACTGACCACTGAAGGCAATTGTAACAGAACAGTAAATATTTGTGTATCAAAACATAGAGAGCATACAGTAAAAATACTGTTATAATCTTTTTTTTTTGTTTTGTTTTGAGACAGAGCTTTGCTCTTGCTGCCCAGGCTGGAGTGAAATGGCGCGATCTTGGCTCACTGCAACCTCTGCCTCCCAGGTTCAAGCGATTCTCCTGCCTCAGCCTCCCTAGTAGCTGGGACTACAAGCACCTGCCACCACGCTCAGCTAATTTTTTGTATTTTTAGTAGAGTCGGGGTTTCACTATGTTGGCCAGGCTGGTATCAAACTCCTGACCTCAGGCGGTCCACCCGCCTCAGCCTCCAAAAGTGCTGGGATTACAGATGTGAGTGACCGCACCTGGCTAAAAATGCTATTATAATCTTTTGGGACCATATTCACGTATGTGGTCTGTCATTGTATAGATAATGTATTTTATAAAGCTTTGATCATAAATGTCATAAAGTGTTTAAGTATTTATAATTACTTATGTCATATATCATTTATTTCTATAAATATCTCTATATAAGTGTGTATATATATTTGCTTGCACATGTGTGTACATTGACACACATAGGCATACATATATAACTGACTCAATAATTTATTATAGCCCAAAGATTTGATTTTGTACTTTTTCTTTCAGATTCTATAAATACATGCAAGTAATTTTATTTAAAATACTACTGTTTAGAGTATGGAAAAAACTGAATTGATTTTAGATTCCCAAGAGAATGCTCATTTTTAATGAGCATTCTAATTGTATTACATTAGAGTTTATCTCCAGAGACAATAAGGGCCAATTTCAGCGAGGCTTTAGGTATTTTACCCAGGAAATTTGCTAATGTATATAATCAAACCAAATAATGAGGTATAAATACAGCGAGCATACAGTTTTGTTTGAAATATATTCAAATGCAATCTTGCTTTGTGTTTCATATTTAGTGAGAAAATCAGTAATGATGTACCGAATAATTCAGAAAAGAGATGGCCCTGTGAAGCATAAATCTCCTTTCCCTTTAAAACCATCAATAAAAACATAGATATACAAATGTAGGTGATGCACAAACAGACATAATGCAAACACACAACACAGAGAGCAGAAACCTATAGAAACTGTGGCAGGGAGGCAAAAACCTAGAATGAACTGGGCTCATCCAAGCATGATAGTAGAAATATTAAATAGGTTTTCCACAAGACCAACTAGGGAAGAAGAAAACTATTTCTAAAAGATATAGCCTGTTGTTTAGCAACCCAAAAAAGTTGACATACCTGCTCAAGTCTAATTTTGCTTGTCTTTTCCATTAAGAAAAATTAATTTCTAAATCGAAAGAATATATTGTAAAAGGAGAGCTATTCTTCTAGTTTTGGTATAATAACAGAAAACACACATTCTTCTAGTTTGGTATAATAACAGATAACCTCTTGACTTAAACAACTAAAGCATGAACAAAATACATGAAACAACAGTTTTTAATCATTTGACAACAGTCAGAATAGGCGAGTGATCTCTGAGAGCAAAGAAACAGAAAGGGTGAGCACTGTGATTGACCCACCTGCTGCTTGGAGAGCATCTCCAGGATGCAGGGCAGAGATGGGGTACCCAAGAGCTGAAGATACAGGTTAGGTTTCAGGTAAGGCAAGGTTGATAGAATTTGCAGGGCAAATTACCAAAGTGGAGAGAATTGTGCAGAGAGGAGATTTGCAGATGGTTTCTCCTTCTGGAAGTTTACACAATAGAAATACATGTCCACAAAAAAGACTTCTACAGAAATGTTCAGTGCAGCCTTTGTCCCCCAGTAGCCATAAATTAGAAATAACCTAAGTGTTGATCAAAAACCAAATAGGTAGGCCGGATGCAGTGGCTCATGCCTGTAATCCCAGCACTTTGGGAAGTCGAGGTGAGTGGATCACCCAAGGTCAGAAGTTCGAGACCATCCTGGCCAACATGGAGAAACTTCGTCTCTAATAAAAATATAAAAATTAGCTGAGCATAGTGGTGCACGGCTGTAATCCCAGCTACTCGGGAGGCTGAGCCAAGAGAATCACTTGAACCTGGGAGGTGGAGGTTGCAGTGAGCCAAGATCGTGCCACTGCACTCCAGCCTGGGCAACAGAGCGAGACTCCACCTCCAAACAAACAAACAAGCAAACAACAGAAAAAACAAATGGGTAAATAGATCATGGCATATCCACTTAATGGAATAATGGGATACTACTCAGCACTAATGTGAACTCTTGATTTAAAACAAGAAGAATGGATGAATGTAGTGAGTTTAATGCTGTTCCCCTGAAAAAAATGATATGCCTTTGTCTTAAGACCATGAACCTGTAAACGTGAACTTAATTGGAAAAAAAGTCTCTGCAAATATTAGTAAGAAGCTTGAGATGAAATCATCTCACATTACTCAAGTAGATTTTAAATCCTATGACCGATGTCCTTACGAGAGACCAAGAGAAGACACAGACGCATAGAGGAGACGATGATCTGAAAACAGAGGCAGAGTTTGGTATTATGTAGCCAAAAGCTAAGAAAAGCCTGGAAGAGGCAATTAAAGATTCTCCTCTTTTCAGCACCCAATGACTCCTAACTGTCTTGCTCACTACCACAGTGCTGATTATTTATGACCACAAAATTATTTCACTTAAAAATAAGTGAGGCATTGTATTGAATGGGAATCAATGTTATTACCAGTTATCTCATCCTTCTCACAATGGCCCACTGAATATTTAGGTATAATACTAGTTAGGTAAATGTTACTTCCAGTAAAATTAGAATCATAAAGAGCTCAGACCTATTTGGAATGCAGGTTTAGTTAAATCTGTCATGTAAAACTATCTTCACAGCTGAGATGCTGACTGAGGGCAAAGGGAATGTGGAATAAAAAATAGAAAACCAAAATTATAAGTAGCAACTCTAGTTAGATAAACAGAGATTAAATTCATAGCTAACATCATTCTGGCAGCATTTCCCACCGTAATTACTGATTTTCAGAAAAGAGCAACCACAGAGCTCTCCCAGTTAGCAGGACTGCACTCTCAAATTTATTTTTCACAGTCATGGTGAAGAATGTCCTCCGTACCCTCCTCCTAGGGTGAGTGAGCAGATCTGACATGATCAACCCCCCCTAACATACGAATCTCCATGAGCATTTGGATAACTTCCTTTACAGTGTGTCAAGGAAAATCTAGCATTTTAACTTCACTAAGCGTAGGCCATCTTTTGGTTCATGTTTCAGCCAACTAATCAAACAAACAGATCCCTTTCTAACTTCTCAAACAGCAACATTAAACTCAGAATCTCTGCTTAGTAGGCTCATGCCAATAAATACATCTTGCTCACACTGTATATATCTTCCACTATTACTTCATTTCCACACATATTCCCTGGAGTTTTATCTCCATAAATTGGAAAAATAATGTAGTTGGAGCTTAGTGCATGTCCTCATAGGTCACACTTTGTAGATCCTCTCTAGAGGCCTGCTAAAACCTGAGTCTGGTTATAGCTCTACAAACAAAGAAGGGTGATGGGGATAAGTCCTGAGGAAACTCAGTATTATCTTGCATGACAATTAGAATAAAGTGAGACCATTCCTCAGGCAAAGCAGAGTTAATCCCTCAGATGGAAATGGAAAGGTTGCTTTTTTTGGCCAATGAGTCTCGTCAGCATTTAGGGATTCAATGTCCCCAGTTTTCTCAGGGTTTTCTCATATATCCCCATTTCAATTTTTAGAATCTTATCCTCTCTTAGCCAATATCCTTACTTTCACAGCAGCCACCTTATGAGGTTGGGAATTCACTGTGGCTGATAATTTAGCCACTCACAGAATGAGGCTTTGGCTTTGGTTTTTAGCAATCTAAGCTCTGCAGCTACAGAAGATAAGAATTTCTTTTAGGGCAAACATACAAATTTTCATGCAGCACCTGGGGTTTTGAGTCCCTGAGCTCATCCTTTACTATTATCACTTTGCCTAGTACAACTAGGGGTCAATCTCATTATGCACATTAGTTTGACAAAAATGTTCTAAGGTGTCAAATACATGGTCACTCAGAATCTTGCCTTTTATAGATTTTGAATAGGATTATCCAATGGTAATCTATCTCTATTGCCACGTCATACCATGAACTACCAATTCTATCTTTACAACTGGAAATAGAGACATTAGTGCCTTTAAATCTAATCAGATTAGAGAACCAATGCTGGACACCTCAGAACCAATTCAGAGAAACTCATCATCTTTAAGCACTAATGGTAACAAAATCTATACCAGTTAGTATTCTATAGAGCAACAGTATCGATAGGATATATATGATGAGAAAGAGAGAATGTGAGATTATTTTAAGGAATTGTCTCTTACAACTGTGGAGGCTGGCGAGTCTAAAATGTATAGATCTGTAAGATAGGCTGATAGGCTAGAAATTCAGGTAAGAGTTGATGCTGCAGCTGGGCGCGGTGACTCACGCCTGTGATCCCAGCACTTTTTGGGAGGCCGAGACGGGTGGATCATCTGAGGTCAGGAGTTCGAGACCAGCCTGGCCAATGTGGAGAAACCCTGCCTCTATTAAAAATACAAAAATTAGTCGGGCATGGTGGCACATGCCTGTAGTCTCAGCTACTTGGGGGGCTGAGGCAGAAGAATCGCTTGAACCCGAGAGGTGGAGGTTGCAGTGAGCTGAGATTGTGCCACTGCACTCCAGCCTAGGCGACAGAGAAAGACCCTGTCTCTCTGACCAAAAAAAAAAAAAAAAAAATTTGATGCTTCAGTCTTGAGTCTAAAATCCACAGGGCAGGCCAGCAGGCCAGGAGCTCAGGCAAAATTTCTATGTTGCAGTCTTGAGGCAGAATTTCTTCTTCTTTGGGAAACTGTTCTTAGCCTTCAATTGATCGGAGGAGGCCTACTCACATTATGAGGGTTAATCTGCTTTAATTGAAGTTTACTGATTGTGAACATTAATTACATCAAAAAATAACTTCACAACAATATCTAGACTAGTTTCTGACCAGCCAAAAGGGTGCCATATTCTGTCCAAGTTGACAAATAAAGTGAATCATCCCACCCTATATTAAAGATCAGTGCTTATTTTTGCTGTCAGTATACTGGCCACTCAGAAGTGAGCTACCACTTTGGGAGGATGAAGCAGGAGGATTGCTTGAGTCCAAAAGTTCAGAACCAACCTAGGCAACACGGCAAGACCTGATCTCTCAAAAAAAAAAGAAAGAAAGAAATTAAGTGGGTATGGTGGTGCATGGCTGTGGCCCCAGCTACTTGGGAGGCTGAAGTGGGAGGACCACTTGAGCTCAGTAGATTGAGGCTGCAGTGAGCAATGATCCTGCTACTTCACTCCAGCCTGGATGACAGAGCAAGACCCTATTTCAAAAATAAATAAATTAATTAAATAAAACTAAATGAATAAAAGAAGTTTGCATCCACAATTGTCCCTTTGAGAAAAAGTCCATGCTGCTGAGCCCGAGTATAAAATCTAGACGTGCCACAATGGCCATTTGTCCTCTAGCCCATAAGCAAACAGTGAGATTCCTACAGAAAATGACTGACTTCCACAAACTAGGTCATCATATCCACCTTAATGTAGAGTCTCCTTTGTGGAGTGGATCTTTCAATGAGTATTCAGGTGAGATAAAAACATTGCTTGGGTCCTATTTTGAGATGCCCACCTATCAAGTTGAGAAAACTCAAACTTCCTTGTTACCATTCCTCCAATCTTACCTTTTTTCAAGTCTCTGATTGTTAAGCCAAAACATTAGGCAAGGTGCATCAAATAGTACAATTTTGTACCTCTCCTGTGGGAAAGTAGGATCACCAGATGTATTAGTCTATTCTCACATTGCTCTAAAGAACTACCTGAGACTGAGTAACTTATAAAGAAAAGAGGTTTAATTGAGTCACAGTTCCACAGGCCGTATAGGAAGCATGGCAGGGGAGTCCTCAGGAAACTTACAATCATGGTGGAAGGCAAAGAGGAAGCAAGAATGTCTTACAAGGCCAGAGAATGAGGAAGAGAGAGAAGGGGGAGGTGCTGCACACTTTTAAACAACCGAATCTCAGGAGAACTCACTCATAATCATGAGAACAGCAAGGGGGAAATCTGCCTCCATGATCCAGTCACCTCCCATCAGGCCCCTCCTACAACACCGGGGATTACAAGTTGACATGAAATTTGGGCAGGGAAACAAATCCAAACCATATCACCAGATACACTGCTCAAAATTTTGCCAACAGGGAAAATTTTTCTTACTCATTTTACTGTAGAACCACTTTAAATATGGCTTGAATACTGCAATAATCCACTCCTAATCCACATCTTGTGTGCAAAATACATATTAAACCAGGCATTTTTTTTTCTTTGTTAAGCAGCTTGCAGGGGAAAATCCTCCATGATGCCTTTTGTGTGGGCAAGAATCAGAAGTATAGTTTCTAAGAGGGTTAGCCACCTTTTCAGACAATTTACTTGTGTTCTCAGGATCTATTTAAGTATAGTCTTATTTATATCACTTCTATTTGATTATGGAGATTATTGTGTAGTGATAAGGATGTCCACCTCTAGGACTTGGTAAATATCAAAGCATTAAATCATGAAGAACAGCTCAGGTCACATGGCTTCCTGGTATAGATGACCAAGTAATCAGTCTCAGCCAGGGCCCAGGGGCAAAGGCCAGGAGACTTTCTCTAGAGGAAAATGATTATTTTCCAAAAAGGGCATGATTTTGTTCCAAAACACCAGATGGTCCATATAGCACACTGGATTTACTAGTAATAAAGTCAAATTATCTGAATGATCTGAAGCAAGATTAGCTGAAGAAATAAGGAAGTTATTATCTTGGAATTCATATAAAGCTGACATCCTTAAGAATTACACCATAAATGCATGCAGCGAGCACACCCAGTGTGAAATTTTCTCCAAGATTCAGAGAGCCTCTAGGCATAGAGGTAAAGAGTATGTGATGCAACAACTTATCTGTGCATCCCAGACCACTAGACCCTCAAATACTTGGGTAGATTTTCAGGAGATTTATCTCTTATATACTCTTGATCACTTATGTTTCTTACCATGACATCTAGAATACTTGTACTTCATCCTCACAGGGTCCTATTATTTATTGTCATGATTCCATCAATAAATGGATCAGTGTGATATTCTCTGAGAGAATAAGGTGATCATGTTGTTTAAAGAGATTTAATTATGATAAAATGATGAAGAACTGGCTTAGCTCAGAGTGAATACAGAAAAGATTTATAACTGTTATTTTCAGGTAAAAGAAAGTTGTTTCTGATGTTCTAAGTTTATTGGAATAAAAACCAATTATAAGAATGGTAGTTCTGAGATGATTTATTTTCTCCAAAAAAAATAAACTATATCTTGAATAATAACTGAAATTTGAGTCACCACCTGCTCTTACACAAGACTCACCCATTATTATCTCTGGTCAAGCAGCCAAATTACAAATCAATGTTAGAAGACAGGGATTTCAGTAACATGGCAGAATAGGAGATTTCTACCATCATCCCCTGAAAGACTTATCAGTTTTGTCAACTACCCATGAACAACAGTACCTTTCTGGGAGTCTAGGAATCCAGAAATGTTCAAGCACACCAATGAAGCAAAATATCTGAAAATAAATACATGGGAAATGGTAAGAAGAACAGTTTGAACAGTTTCACTCTTCTCAGGTCACCACTCCACAAAAGTGTCACAATTCAGTGCCAGGAGAGATCTCCTTGGCCTACAATTTCTTCCACAGGAGAAGGTTAAAGCCTAATAAGTGAGCACCCATATAAGATGCTGCTTGAGAGGCCCACATCTTTGTTTCTCCACATCAGAATACTGAGTTGGCTGGCATGTCTGAGTGATTAAGAAAGGCTGACAGCAGGAAAAGGAGGCTACAGAACCTACTTATCACTCAACAGACTCCATCAGGAAGCCCATCCATGAGCTACCTGGGAAGTCTCATCTACTGATTTCCCCTCACAATTGGTTTGTGGACACTTTATTGACTCCATGCACCTCATTTACTGTCGCCAGTCCAGCTTACTAAACTGAACTTTCAGTGAGTGTAACCGTTTTGTGCAGACAGCCAGCTTGACAATGCAGGCTTAGAAAACACACAAATGTGAGCATTTCAGGGTACCGACTCAGTGAAAAACAAGAAAAGCTCTCAACACTCAGCCTGGAGTTGTAAAATCTACAGAAGGCGTGTAATCTTAAAAATTACCCCCTAAGAAAGTATAAGAGGTGTGGAGAAGGTATATCCATAACAAAGTTATGAGAGCCCCCAAATCCCTAGCTAGACTTTTTGGTAAAGTTATTTCTCTCCCAAAACAGTCGGTAGAAACTGGAAAAGGTGAGTTTTCATTCAAATGTAAAAACAACAATAAAAGTCTTTAAGGAAAACAAAAAAATCAAGGAAACATGACAATACCAAGGGAAGATAATATCATTCCAGCATAGTAGCAATAGCAAGTCCAAAAGAAATGTAGACCTGCTAGTTGCCTGACAAAAAATTTAAAGTAATTGTTTTGAGGAAGCTCAACTAGCTACAAGAGAACACAGACAGACAATTCAATAAAATTGAAAAAAGCAAGGCAAGAACAAAGTGAGAAGTTCAATAAAGAGAACAACATCATAAAAAATGACCAAACTGAAATTGGATCTGAAAAATACAGTAAATAAAATGCAAAATGCAATAGAGAATAACAACAGCAGACTTGATTTGGCAGAAATAATCTGTTAACTCAAAGACAGTTAATTTGAAAATAGAAGAAAAAAGAATGAGAAAAAATAAAGGGCACCTTCATAATTTATGGAACACCATCAAGATAACTCATATTTAAATTTAGACATGTCAGAAAGATAAGAGAGAATAAGAGGGACAGAAAACTTAAAGAAATGAGCTGAAAAGTTTTTAAATCTGGGGAGAGAGGCACTTCTAGGAACACAACGCTTAAAACTCTCCAATCTGCCGGGCACAGTGGCTCACACCTGTAATCTCAGTACTTTAGAAGGCTGAGGCAGGTAGATCAACTGAGGTCAGGAGTTCAAAACTACCCTGGTCAACATGGTGAAACACTGTCTCTACTAAAAATACAAAACAAATAATTAGCTGGGTCTGGTGGCATGCGCCTGTAATCCCAGCTATTCCGGAGGCTGAGGCAGGAGAATTGTTTGAACCCAGGAGGCAGAGGTCGCAGTGAGACAAGATTGCACCACTGCACTCCAGCCTGGGCAACAGAGAGAGACTCCATCTCAAAAACAAAACAAAACAAACAAACAAATCGACAAAACCTCTCCAATCAGTTCAACCCACAGAAGAATACTCCAAGACATAAAACAATAAAAAAATCAAAGACAAAATGAGAATCTTGAAAGCAGCAAGAGAAAAGGGGTTTCTAACATGCAAGGGATCACCTACAAGGCTATCAATGGATTTCTCAGCAGAGACTTAGCAGGCTGAGAGAGAGAGGAGAATAATATAGTCAAAGCGCTGAAAGAAATAAAAAAACTGCACCATGAATACTTTCTCCAGCAAAACTATCTTTCAGAAATGAAGGGGATAAAGATATTCCCAGACAAACAAAAGCTGAAGGAGTTCATCTGCATCAGACCTGCCTTATTAGAAATGTTCAAAGGAATTCTTCAAACTGGAACAAAAAGATGCTAATTAGTAACACAAAAATATATAAAAGTATAAAACTTACTGATAAAAGTAAGTAGATAGTCAAATTCAGGATACTCTAATACTGTAATGGTATTACAGTATGTGTACATTGTATGTGTAAATCACTTATAGCTCTAGTATAAATATTAAAAGATAAAACTATTAAAATAATAATAGCTGCAAAAATTTGTTAATAGATACATATTAAAACATTTAAGTTGTAACATCAAAAACATAAAATTTGGGGAGGGAATGAAGTAAAAGTATAGAATTTTTGTAGGCAATTGAAGTTGTTATCAGCTTAAAATAGAGTATATAACTATAAATTACTTCAGGTAAACATCATAATAGATACAAAGTGAAAACATGGTAGATATACAAAAGATAATGAGAGAAGAATCAAAGCATGCAACTACAGAAAATCATCAAATCAAAATAGCAAGAGAGGAAGAAAAGAACAAAGATCTACAAAACAGCCAGGAAACAATTAACAAAATGGCAGTTGTAAGTCCTTACCTATGAATAGTTATCTTGAATAGAAATTGATTAAATTCTTCAATCAAAAGAGATAAAACCACTGTTTAAAAACAAAACAAAACAAATGAATGACAACAACAACAAAAAACACCGAAGACCCAGCTATATGATACCTAGAAGAGACTCACTTTTGCTTTCAAAACATAGACAGAAAGTGAAGTAATGGAAAAAGCAAAGCCATTCTGAGGAAAAAAAAAAACAAAGCTTGAGGCATCACATTTTCTGATTTTAAATTATATTACAAAGCTATAGTAATCAAAACAGTATGATACAGGCATAAAACATAAATAGGCTAATGGAACAGAGTAGAAATGCCAGAAATAAACCCGTACGTATAAGGTCAACTAACCTCTGACAAAGTCATAAAGAATACACAATGAAGAAAGGACAGTCTCTCCAATAAATGGTTTTGGGAAAACTGGATATCCACACAGAAACAATGAAATTGGATCCTTATCTTACACCATACACACACACACACACAATAAAACAAACAAAAAACTCAAAATAGGTTAAAAACTTAAACATAAGACTTGACGCTGTAAAACTCCTAAAATAAAACATGAGGGAAAGCTCTACTGGTCTTGGCAATGAGTTTTTGGACATACCTAAAAAACAGATAACAAATGCAAAAAGAGACAAGTGGAACTAAAAAGAAATTCTTACAGCAATGAAAATAATCAACACTATGAAAATGCAACCTATAGAATGGGAGGACATATTTGCAATCCCTTATATTTGATAAGGGATTAATAACCAAAAAATACAAGGACCTCATACAACTCAATAGCAAAACAAAACATAACAAAACAAAACAAATAGCAGGATTAATAAATGGGAAAAACACACAAATAGACATTTTTCCAAAGAAGATATATATTAATAGATGTCCAAAGAGTTTTTGAAAGGGTGCTCAATATCATTAATCGTCAAAAAAATACACACCAAAACTACAACAAGATATCACCTCTCAACCGTTAGGATGACTATTATCAAAAAATCAAATAACAAAAGTTGGCAAATATGTGAAGAAAGGGAACTCTCATATAGTTATTGATTGATGGAAATGTACATTGCTACTACCATTATGGAAAACACTATGGAGGGTCCTCAAAAATGTAAAAACAGAACTACCATGTAATCTAGCAATCCCACTTCTGTTTAGAAGTGGCATAGAGCCAAAGGGAATAAAATCACTATCTCAACGAAATGCTTGCACTCCCATGTTCATTGTAGCACTGTACTATATATAAAATATAGAAACAAAGTAGGTGTTTATCAGAGGATGATTGGATAAAAAAAGCATGATATATATTGATATAGATAGATATACACATATATACATAATATATACACTCACACATATATATACATGCAATGAATATTATTCAACCTTAATAAACAAGGAAATGCTGACATTTACAACAACATGAATGAGCCTAGAGGATATTATGTTAAGTAATAAGTGAAATATCCTAGAAACAGAAAGAAAAATACTGAATGATCTCACTTATGTGTAGAACCTAAAAAAATAGAATCCATAGAAACAGTAGAAAGGTGGTTACTGGTTGTTGGGGTAGAGGGGAGGGATTGGGGAAATAGGGAGATGTTGGTCAAAGGGTACAAACCTGCAGTTATAAGATAAATAAGATCTAGAAACTAATGTACAGCATGGCGACTACAGTTAATAATAATTAATTGGATACTTGAAATTTGCTAAAAGAGTAGATCTTGAGTATTCTCATCACACACAAAAAAGTTAGCAATGTGAAGTGATGGATATGTTCATTAGCTTAATTGTGGCAATCATTTCACAGTGTATATGTATATCAAAATAACACATTGAACTCCTTGAATATATACAATTTTTACTTGTCAATTATGCCTCTGTGAAGCTGACCAAAAAAGAAACTAAAAACACAACCCACAAAATGGGAGCAGATAAATTTGTCAATCATATACCTATAAAGGACATGTATCCAGAATATATAGAGAATTCATATGGGCAAATAATTTCAAAATAAAATTTCTCCATAGGAGATATGCAAGTTGCCAATAAACACATTAAAAGACGCCCTACATCATTAATCATTCTAGAAATGGAAATCAAAACCACAATGAAATATTATTTCACTAGGATGGCTATAATTAAAAAAAAGGCAGACAATAACAAGTGTTGGTGAAGATGTGGAGAAATTGGAACCATTGTGCACTACTGGTAGGAATGTAAACTATTCCAGCCACTTTAGAAAACAGTCTTGCAGCTCCTCAAAATGCTAAACATACAGTTAGCATATGATCCAGAAATTTCATCCCTAGGTATGTACCCAAGAGAAATGAGAAGATATGTCCACATAAAAACTTGTATACTGATATTCATAGCAGTATTACTTGTAATAACCCAAAGAAGAAACAACTCAAACATCCAACAGTTAATGGATGAATAAATGTGGTATATCCACATAACAGACTATTACTCAAAAATAATGAAATATCAACATATACTACAACACGGATTAGCTTTGAAAATATTATGCTAAATAAAAGAAGCTAGTCACAAAAGACCACACACTGTGTGATTCCATTTTTATGAAATGTCCAGAATGGTCACATCCATAGAGACAGAAAATAGATTAGTAGTTTCTAGGATTAGAGCGAAGGAGGAATGGCAACTGACTGCTGATGTGTACAAACTTTCTTTGGGGGGTGATGAAAATGTTCTAAAATTAATTCTGGTGTTGATGCACAACATTGTGAATATACTAAAAACTACTGAATTGTACACACTTTAAAAAGGTGAATTTTATTGCATGTAAATTATATCTCTACAAAGTGCTTTTTTAAATAAAATAAAAACAAACATTAGGGAAATGCCCATCCCCGCATTCAAATCTATGATTGTCACTCTAAATCATAAATATATGGAGATATACAGTATTCATTTTAAAGTACTGTATTAGTAGAGGTGATTTAGAAGGCTTTGTATTGACCCTTTCCACATTAATGGGCCTCCATTCCATGGGTTATGGAACCAAAGTGAGTTTTTTGTGCCAAGTTTAGAAAGTCCATTCCAAATACACAAATACAGAAATAAGGTCTGAACCTTATGATGAATTTGGTTGAAACTCCATCACCTAATTCCCATAAATCACTGCTATGACCAGGGGAGCACAGAGGTGTTCCGGGTCCCCAGAAATTATTGTTAAACTAGAGGTAGTATCAAAATATATCAGAAATAATCACTGTAATCACCATTCCCAAGTACATTTGGTACACGACTACAAGCCTTTTGAGCTAGGAACTGGATTTGTATCTTTGTGATGTTACCGTGGAGTCACTTTTCAACTGTACCTAGCTTACCCTTAATTAAAGAGATTCTAAGTCACAAACCAGACTCAGGGTTTTAAATTGAACAAGAGACCATGGCTCTCTGCTATTTTCTAAATGTGTCTCTCCAAAATTCCTGTGCTGAAACCTAACACCCAAAAGTAAGAGTATTAAGAGGTGGAATCTTTTGGGAAGCAATTAATTCTGAGGGCTCTACCCTCGTGAATGGGATTAGGGTCCTTATGAAGGGGGTTGAAGGGAGCTTTCCTGCCCCTTATTCTTTACTGAGATAAGGAAATCTATGCAAAGGGCAGCATCTCTGAACTTTATTCTGAGCCTGCAAAGGACAACTATGACAGCACTTTTCTCTAATTCTGTGCATAGGTCTGTGTTTGTTTGTTGTGTGTGTTTCCTAATGCATTTCTCTGTTTTGCCTTGAATGGTATCGTTATGTGAACTTCTTAAGAGTTGTACAAATTTCAAACACTAGAGTAATTGGAGGAGTGAAAGCCAATTCTCACAGAAGTGCAAAGGGATAGTTTCATGGTAGAGATGGAACAGGTGCTAGTCTTAAAAAGTAGGTAGCATTTAGATAGATGTCAATGTGACGAGGACATCTGTAGAGATCAGCATAATGTCAAAGAGAACCCCTGAAATTCTCAGTGAGTGAACCCCCACTTGGCCAAAAAGCAAGGGCTGGAACAAAGTTCAAAGAAGGAGAAGATAAAATGCATATCTTATGTTGTTCATAATGCTGTAAAATTATTTGGAAACCACATCTCTAATGTCTAAATACCTGTTTAGATAATTATTTCAGCAACTTCTGAAACAGAGGACACTGAAGCAAGCAGCTAAAAGAGCCAGAAAACAGAATATATGTAGAACACTCTTAGTAATATGAGAAAGTATTCGTTGTCTACACTATGTGTTAACAATCCATTTTTATTATTTTAGGTTCTCAATCAGTAAGCTGAACTTAGGTTGCACATCAGCCTTTATGGTTTCTGGGTATCCTTTTATTCTTTGCATTTTATTTTTACTTTTTGTATTCACATTTGTGTCTCTGTACTTCTGGAGGTGAATTGTTCTTTCACTTGATTATCAATATTCCCTCTTCAAAACTGACTGATGGCATCTTGCAGGAGAAAATAAAATCTATCATTTAAGTGAATGACAGAGATCAGGTATCATTTAGACAAATGTGTGCTTTCTGCAATCAGCAAACCTATTTATAGGGAAAGATATCATACTGACAACCCCATGAAACATTTGGCTCATGCTCAGTGGTAAAATTATTCTTTCTTCTCTTTCAAATTTTAAAGTTATACATTTCCGAGTCACTTTCTAGTGCAATACATCAGTGACTAGGTGAGATTAATTTCCCTCACCCTCCAAAGCAACACTTACCAGGTTTTTAGACAGTTTTAATGCCATTAAAGGTAATATACTTTGGAAGAAGTATAGTTTTTTCCTTGACGATTTCATTGTCTCTCACTCAGGGGTGGTTTTTTTTAATTATTCTTTCTGAAAGTATGCTTTGAGAGTTCAATTATATGATTCTTAAACATCTTAAGTATAATGTGGTCTTTATAAACACACCTAATTTTACTTACTTTTACTTAAAGTATCATTTAAGTGGGGTATTCAGGGGGCAGAAGTAAATACCAAGAGATTATCAGATTTTTTTCTATTACTAGCTAAAAGTTAAACTTTCGTTGAGCCAAAAATTTGAAAAATCAAATTTTCGACTTTAGGAATAAAAGTCAAGTTATTTTACTTCCTAAAGTCAAAATACTAGTCAGCTTTAAATTCCCTTGACCATGGATTTTATCACAATATTCTAAACACATAAGCAGTTACTATAAAAAATAAATAAATTATGAATAATACTTTTATGGCCAAAGGTTCAAAGATTCAATTATTTTTCACTCCACATATTAAATATTTTACAAGGTAGTTTACCAGTAAACTAAAAAACCAGAGTGGTTTACAGGGAATCTACCAATTCCTTGTAATAGTCAGGAATCAGGAGAAACAGGATATCTAGGAATATATGTTAGAGAAAATGAAATAAAGCATTGATATTCCTAAGTACATCAGCATGAAATAAAATTAAACTCAATACAGAGCAGCTCCATATGGCATGTTATAATTTAGCATTCTTATTTTCAACATATATTTCTGATTTTGATCTAATTGCTATTAATTTACAAACTATATTTTTAAAAAACTGTTAACTCACTCTTTAATTCGCATTTCTACTTATTTAACTATATTCCAACATGTTAGCCAAGATTTTAATTGATTTTTGTAGTAGCCAGTTGTTAACAGGATAATTTGTCAATACAATAATAAAACAATTGTCTCAATGGCTCTAGGAGTTCAGTTCATCAGATAAGAAAGTTGAATTTTGTTTCATTAATTGAATCCAGGTGTAGGATTTGTTAGATGAAAGATAGAAATCCCTGTGGAACTGTGGAAATCTGGGTCAGAGATCACTGAAAAATTAGTTAAGCATGATGGGTCAACAGTGACCCAGACAGGTGTCCTGCTTTGTTTCTCTGTGTCACTTCCTGTGCTCTTAAACACTCATCTGTTGAGCTTGGACATGTAGGTCAACACATGGGTTTCTGAGTCTGTAGTAAATTAGAAGCCAGGGAAGAATTCCTTATAGTCACAAACACATGATCCTAAACATCCACCCAGTGTTAACTTCTCAAGGTAAAAATATTTCATTATATCATTTTATGGTTTTAAAGAAGCTAGTGAGGATTTTTACCCCCAGCCCTTCAAGACGGGTGATAACCTCAAAAGAGATGCAAATAAATTATTTTTTAAGAAAGGAAAAATAAAACATAAGACACCGATTTATACCCAAAAAAGACATTCAATTCCTGAATAAAAGAAGTGATGCTAGTGGAAATACAGTCTCCATTTTGAAAAATATGCTGACAATTTCAAAGACTTTTAGTATTCTCTAAATTCGTAGCCATGACACTTCAGTTTTCTTTTTCTATCATTTTTCTTATACTGTTAAAATGTCACGACTTATGAGTTGTATCTCTACCTTATTACTGTTCTCAGTAATGACACAATAGAATTATTCTTAAGGAGCTACACAATAATTCAGAACACAGAATGAGTGCAAATTCTAGTATTTGACACTAAGTGAATGCACTTCTGAAGGGACTCTTTCTGAGGGTATAAATGCACTCAATGAGCAGGCACACATGAAAGCCATAGCTTAATTGCGGCCTTATTTATGCCTTGACTCCTAAGACACACGTATGCACAAGCACACACACACATACACACACACACACCATACATCATTTTTTTCCACTAAAAAACAACTTTTAAAAAGTAAGTTCAAGAGGTCTTAAATCCAAAAGTGAGCCTAACTCAGGAAAAGAAGTTAAGACAAATGGTGTTAAAATGGAAAAAATTCAAAATGATATTATATGCAAATTAGTTAGCCAACCTCAGAAAGAAAGCTAAAAGGACTATGTGAACTTGATTGACACATTGGAACCTAACTTACGTTATATTGTGTTGCAATAATTACTTGTGTTACTTGTTAAGAAATGCATATATGCCTTTTAATTCTACTTTGTTACAACCCCTTAGGTAAATGCATATATATTTTTTCTATTTGTTATGTTTTATAGAGTCTAGGATGCATACTTTTTCACATTTGAGCGTCTCTGCAATTGGGATGTATTTTAAAATCACTGTTTTATCAGAGTTAATGGCATCATTGTTTTGCTGTTGTGTCTTATTGGTGCTCACAATAATGCTATATATTTTACAATGATGGCATCATAGATTTGAAGAAATGCAGATGCAAACTAGCCCTCATTTCCATAGCAATAATGTCTCACTTGTGCAACACTTTTATTATGCCCATGCACAATGGCAAAGTATGAAAATGTGGCTGGAAAGCCCGACAACCTCCCCCGGTAGAGGGGGAGGATGAGATATAGGTGCTAATTAAATAGAATTTACCAAGAGCTGGTGGCACAATAAGAGCAATTTAGTTTTGCTCCTGTATGTGTGCATTTGATGTCATCAGGCCACCAAAGGGTTAATAAGACAAAGTACATCACTGCAATCATGGATACCTATTTGTCCATGAGAGTTTATTGACTTAAAGAAAAATTAAGTTTTTCAAATGTTGTGTTTTCTTAACAGGTCACTGAGCAAGGCAACCAGCAGCCCCATATTCCTGCCACTTACTGCTGGTTGGAAGGGTGAACTGAAAATGGAACACTCATTTCCAAGTCCAATGGGTTAGAATATCTCAACTGCCCCAGTGGCTGTGTTTAGACAGGTGCAAGCATCTGGGCTCCCTCGCACTAGGACCCAGGAGGGAACCAAGCCTGGAGATCTCCTTCTGTTGAGGGCCTAGAGTTTTCATGAGGGGACTGATCAGTGAGAGTCACTTGAAGAGGGGAGTACAGAATTTCTAGGTAGGAATCTCAGTGTTATGCTCTGAATGTTTGTGTTTCTCCAAAATTGACATGTTGAAACCTCACCTCCAATGTTACGTCATTTGGAGGTGGCTCCTTTGGGGAGTGATTAGGTGATAATGGTGGAGACTTCATGAATGGGATTAGTGTCCTTATTAAAGGGACCCCAGAGAGCTCCCTCACCTTTTACCATGTGAGTACCCAGAAATAAGATGGCTGTCTATGAACCAGGAAGAGGGCCCACACCAGACGCCCAATGTGCTAGCACCTTGATCTTGGACTTCCAGCTGTGAGAACTGTGAGAGAGATAGATATATTTCAATTGTTTATAAGCCACCTAGTTTATGGTGTTTTGTTATAGCCACCCAGATGGACTAAGACACCAAGGGAGGAGAGTTAACTTAGCATGGAAGGCGGTATCCAAAAGAAATGCCTCCTTGCACAGACCTCCCTTCATTGGCCTCCAGTAGTTCTAAAATTCACTGCCTGTACTACCTTACTCATGCTGGAGGCTGAGTAAACAAGGCAGCCAGGGGAAAAGGATGGGATTATGCTTCCTGATCACTTCAGACTAAGGGAAGCAGACCCCCGCCTCAGTGGGACCATAAACAGACCATCTGAAAAGGATGCTAAGCTATGCTAGAGAAACAATAGGATTAAGACTCCTGATTACTCCCAAAGCTTAGCAATTTAGTTTCAGAGGGAAAAGGTAGAAGTGAATACTACCTGGGTTTCAGTGGAAGGAACTCTAAATGATTGGCACTTATATTTTTCATTTCACAGATGTGCAAAACATGTCACAGAAAAGTTAACTGACTTGCCAAAGGTTTAGCATTTACTTGGCTTAAAATTGCTGAAACAAAGGCAAAAGATATTTTTTACTCCACAGTTATCAATTTTTCTAATACCCCTTACACATTGTGCAATATCCCTTACACATTGACAATTCAGTCTCATGACTAGAAATCTTTGTATATACGTGGAATTTACCGTTGTGCAGTTAATTTACGAAGAAGTTTAGAAAACAAACAAACAAAAAACTTCGCAAACATTTCTCTCTCAGCCTAATTATTTTCAATGACTCAACCAATTGAAAACCAATTCTATAATTGCAAAGGCATTATTTTAAGTCATAGAATTTAAATTATCTTCATGTGATTCTATACCACTTGACTTTGTATTTTCTACTAAGTAAATTTTTATGAAGATGCATTTTATATTTCTCAAATAGAAGACATTAAAATTTATTGCCTGAATTTCAAAAATTTATTTAAAAAGCCCACCAAAATCAGTTTTATTTTTATATACTCAATTACTTAATATACAGATCAAATATGTATTAGTTTTCAAGTTTTTATCCAGAAGTACAGTTATTTGTCATGGAATGTATGGCTATGAACAAAGGCACTAGAGTGGGGAGATAGAGACAGTAAAAATAATGCAGTAAATAGGAGAGAACTTCCAGGAAGGTCTGTCTGATTCTGCTGGTTGGGTAAGTAAAACCAAACCCAACTAGGTATTTTGTCTACATGATCCAGAAAATTTTTAGTTTCATTTGGACAATTTGGAAGAAAAATTAGGGAAGGAAGATTGGCTTAATTACTCAAATTGGTCAACTATGTCATAAAAATTCACCGCTAACTACAAAATATCAACCTTCTTAAAAAAAACCAAGAAATTCCCAGCTTGGCTTTGTCGTTAGCTTAAAGAAACTGCTCATCATGGTAATGACCCTGCTTATCTTCCTTCCTTCCTTATCAGCCTAATTTTCCAACACTGCTCAGGGTAGAAGAATATTTTGATGGGGAAATTTGTTTCTTTGCTGTTTGTTCTACTATGAGCTAAATCAAGTTAGATTTGGTGATGGTCTTTGAAGGTTTAAATCTCAGTTCCTGCAATTAGAAAGACAATTTCTCCCTTCTTGGTGATAATAATATCTTATAAATGAAGCTTTTTCTAAAAAATTAATTTCCTTTTATCAAAATTTGTCCCACAAAATGGTTTCAAGTCTCTTATTTCCAATACCAAACACCATTCCTGGTTGAGGTCTTCACAAGTGGCACCGAGAGAGCTGTAACTAAAAGATTCATCTCTTAACAGCACAAAAAACAGATGAGACCTTATCTAAAGTATACAATAAAGTTTAAACCATTGTTGACCTATTAATTTAGTATTAACATATTTGAACCCTAACTTTAAAATAAAGCAAATAACTAAATATTTGAAGACTCTTTAAAAAAAATTAAAGAAAACTATTTCCAGTTGCAAAAAAATAAAAGAAATTACTCAAAAACTTTGAGATACCAGGTGGCCTCAATACAATTACACAAATGGAATACATTTTAAAATGATATTGAACAATTTGACGTGATTTCACATTTTTATATTTTAGAGTTGGCAAATGAGTAAATGTCATAGATTTTCTACTGTTTTAAAATTAAATAAATGCTTCATTTTGTAGGTAAGCTCTGCAATTTGATGCCAAACCATGATTTCCAAGTGCATTGCAGACAGTGCCAGGATGTCATTTACCTTTACTCAATTAGGAAACGATGAGAGAAAGTGCCTTTCCAATTCTACCCAGAGCTAGTCCCTGAAAGCTCTCATTGTTATAGTTCATCCTGTTCTCTTTTAGCTTGAACTGCAGGGGTGATACATTCTCATTAAAAATTGATAAAGATAGCTGTTGTTATTTGTTTCTTGACAAAGGTAGAAAGAAAGCCTTGTTTGGTATGACACAAACTGGTAAGTACTGTATGGCAGAATGAAGACAAAGTGGTGCCGCTCTTGGTGGCCCAGCAAAGCTACAGTGACAATGGGGAAAAGAGGCATCGGTCCTTCACAGATATCTAGAAAATTCCTAGATGTATGTAAAGCATTTCTTTGGAAGTAAAATATGCCCAGAAAAACATTAAAAATGGAAAATGAATTAAAAAATAAGAAGATATTTCTATTGAAGGAAGTGGAAAGTGGATTCGACATGACGCTTACTTGCCCATATTAGCCGAATCTCTACTTTATATGTGTTTTGTTTTCTAGCCATAGATAATCTAAACTACACCTCAGTTTGAAAGAGTCCTGTACGGCTGGGTGCAGTGGCTCACGCCTGTAATCCCAGCGCTTTGGGAGGCCGAGGCAGGTGGATCACCTGAGGTCAGGAGTTCAAGACTAGCCTGGCCAACATGGCGAAACCCCGTCTCTACTAAGAATATAAAAATTAGCAGGGTATGGTGGCAGACACCGGTAATCCTGGCTCCTCAGGAGACTGAGGCACAAGAATCGCTGGAACCCAGGAGATGGAGGTTGCAATGAGCCGAGATCACACCATTGCACTCCAGCCTGGGCAACAGAGCTAGACTCCATCTCAAAAGAAAAAAAAAAAAAGAAAAAAAAAAATTATTCCTTCCTCTGACTCTTCTAGCTTTGTAAAACAAGGTATGGATGCCCTTCTTCTTTTGTATTACAGACTCAAAGTTAAAATAATCAAGCCAGGCTTGTTGTTTTTGGATCATGTGCTAGGCCCATTCAGAGGCATTTAAGCACTTATTTTGGGTAGTTAACATTATAAATTATCATTATTATTATTATTATTATTATATACACACACATTGTAAATATTCCATTTCATTGACAAATGCAAAAAGACAGAAATAAATACTGAAGGCAATATAATAAGGTGTATAGAGAAACCTGGCCTCTGGGATTACAGCCCTACCACTGATTTTTATGTTACCTCAGCAAATTTCTTAACCTATCCGGACATGTATTTTCTTACCAGGAAAATGGGGACCAAAAAAGTCCTAAAGTCAGAACGTGTGGGAAGATTGGTTACGAGGATTCAATAAGCATTTAAAATTCGCAATACAATCCTGGAAACTGAAAGCCATTAGTATTCTTACTATCAAAACATTCAAGGACTGCTCCATGATCATCTACGGATGTTCAATGGGTGATATTTGGGGAGAAATAGCTATTACTAAATCTTCAGTGTCAACACATCCAAGGGAAATTTAAAAATTTATGTTTAACCTGAATGTGAAACATAACATTGCAACAATGTCACGTTGTTTCCCCTCTTGTGGGTATATAAATGTGCTGGAGATATGCTAATTTGTAACTATGAAAAAGATGGGTATATTTTACTGGTAACAATATAATGAAAATTGTGACCCTCAACATTTTCAATTGAGCCTTTTTAATTGGTTTTCATTAATAACTCTTTGGTAGTGTGTTCCCATGAGCTATAGTTTGTCTTTATACCACTTATTTTCCTAAACCACATGTTATCTTCAAACCCTTCACAGGGGAAGAAAAGGTCTTCCAGAATTTTTAGCTGCATTTTTGGTAAAAATGCGTGGTTGGATTTGAGGAAAAAAGGCTTTTATATTGCTTACTTAAATATATTCAAGTGTGAATAGTTGAACTTCTATTAAAGCTGTAGCTGATTTTATTTTTCTTAAAAATGTAGTGGACAAAATGTGGAACGAAATGTGTGTGTATGTGTATGTGTGTGTGTGTGTAAACTGTGTTCCTTCTCTTAAGGCTGCATAGGGCATACGTTGTTTTCAAGCAAGCCTCGGACTCCTACAGCTCCAGCTGTCATGTGTAATTAAACATTTGGCCTCCACAATTACTCTACAGTGTACATATGCCAGCATTGCAAGCCTGGAATATGCATTTCAAAGAAGAATAATTCCCTGGAAATCCTAAATTGACAGGAGCAAAGACAGCCTGAAGGAAAGTAGTCAGCAAAAACTGTAAGGTCGGGATCTGATGATTAAAAAAGAAACTTCAAGAAGAACTTCAACCCTTAACTAAACCAATGGGAAAAGGAACGACAGTTGGCAAGCAGATTTCTGCATAGGGATTCTGACTAGGGAACCTCTTGGGGTAATTTAATATTATCAGTGTGGTTCACCCTGCTATATTCTGCCTTACCATTAGTATCATTTAAACAGATATTTTTCTTAAAGCACATTTGGCATCACTTATTTCTTCATGAATCTTTAAATTATTAAATTTGATGATTCATGTTGAGTCTGTAGTTGATTTATCAGAAAGCATTCCTCTCCACTCCTCTGTCATTCCCCTCAGCTCCTTCAATACAGATGATTCCACTTATGAGTGGATGGTGGTATCTCAGGGAAAAAAAAAATGTAATGCTGAGTTGACATTTTTACTACAACTCCTTGTTTGTAGCAATTTGTTTTAATTCCATTTCCAATTACAGATGGATAAAACTAGGCACTTAACTTTTCATTAAATGCAATTTTTGTTTTTCATAGAAGGATTTGGATCAATTCTTATATTGGCAAAGCTGTCATTTAGTTTGAGGCTGATCTCTTATATGTAGCCAATCTTAACATATACGACATTCAGGAAATGCATACAAATGAGGTATTTTCAAATTGCTTGAAAAATAATAGAAAGAAGTGAAGAATAGAACCGCTCCACGCTTGGTGCTCTCCCTTCCCGGTGGCAGGATGTCCTATCTAATATGTCGACCAACAGGCAGCATGCAAATATTGTGAATATTCAGGGTACTCTTCAATTCCTACTCCATTTTGAAATTTTTCTGGAAAGTCTATGAAACCCATTCAGAAGAGTCCAATTTGCATGACTTGTAAAGTGATTTGGGGGTACATTTTTTAAGGTTTGGGACAGAATTAAACATAAGTACATTATCATTTGGCTCCACAAATCAGCCAGTGCAGAAAAGAATATCTTATTCTTTTTAAAATACTTATATAATCCAAAATTTTATTAAATGAAACTAGAACTAATAAAAACTAATAATGCTTCCAAGCCCCACGTTCCCACTTTGCTGAGAGAATTTAACATCATTTAAGCCATTATTCAATGTTTGAGGGAAATGACAAATGAAACATGATTTTTTTTTCAAAAGTAAGAGTTCTTGACCGAGTGAACTAATCTTTATATTAAACAGCAAGTCTCCAAAGTTTCCAATGTAGTAAAGAGAGAACAAAACAAATTAACATCTATATTTCCCTACTCTTAGTAAATATTTAGTTTATCTAAACGTTAATCATATCATTATAAGATCATTAAAATTATGCAAGAAAAATGTAATATGAATGTTACATTTTCAGCAGGGCAGCAAAATACATTATAGTAATTGAGAATGAGGAATTTGAATCCCCATACCACAAGTGTATATATGCAAATGAATAAAGCAAAGGACAATTTGCAGAGAAACTGATTACATTCTTAAATGATTGATCCCACTATATGTATCTGTTAAAACAAATCTAAAGATTTAGTACCCGGATTATCTCAGGTTACAGGATTTAGCCCTGTGAGCTTTTTGAATAAACAGCCCACTTCATTAAAGATGAAATAAAGTATTCTCTTGATAGTTTTGAATACTCACCTTGAAGATACATAACATGCTGTAATCTGTAAGTTGCTGAAGTATCTTTTAAAACTCCACCTAATTTGTACTGCCGCTGATGTGAAGAAAAGATTATTCAGAGATGCACAGTATGGATATTTTATAAATGTTCTCTTCATCTTGCGTATTTCACAGTGTGAAAATTTATTTTTTGAATCAGCCCTTAAACTAGCCAGCAGAGAATGAGGACATTAGAAAAATGATGATTTCAACGAACAACAGAAGCCGTGCGTGGTGGCTCACGCCTGTAATCCCAGCATTTTGGGAGGCCGAGGCAGGAGGATCACCCGAGGTCAGGAGGTCAAGACCAGCCTAGCCAACATGGTGAAACCCTGTCTCTACTAAAAATACAAAAATTAGCCGGACTTGATGAGGGTGCCTGTAATCCCAGCTACTCAGCAGGCTGAGGCGGGAAAATCAGTTGAACCCCGGAGGTGGAGGTTGCAGTGAGCCAAGACTGCCTCTGCACTCCAGGCTGGGCGAGACGCCATAAAAAAAAAAAAAGAAGAAGAAGAAGAAGAAAAGGAGGAGGAGGAGGTGTAAAAGTTGTTGTGATGAGCCTGAGAAGAAGGAGGAGAAGCCAGAAGCGGAGGAGGAGGAGGAGGAGGCGGAGGAGGAGGAGGAGGAGGAGGAGGCGGAGGAGGAGGCGGAGGCGGGAGGAGGCGGAGGCGGGAGGAGGCGGAGGCGGGAGAGGGGGAGGCGGCGGCATGAGAGGGGGAAGTGGCGGCGGGGGAGGGGGAGGGAGAGGCGGCGGGGGAGGGGCAGGCGGCAGAGGAGGCAGAGGAAGAGCGGGAGGAGGCGGCAGAGGAGGAGACTGAGGCGCTGGAGGAGGAGGAAAAGTTGTTTTTATGAGCCTAAGTTTAATGTTGACTTTTGGGACTTGACTGAGATTTAAACAACATTTTCAGATATTCTGTTTTGAAACAGAGGGAAAAAAAGAATCATGAAAATATTTCATATGAACTTCAGCCAGTGAGTTTACCATTTGTGAGCATACAGGCACGAGAAGCAGTGATTCAGGAGCAATCTGAATTTTTCTTTTTTTATAGGGGTGCTAATATTGATGTGTTTATGTCACCACCACTGTTTAGGGTTGCCATAGAAAACACAGAAAATACCTTTAAATTTTAATCATAAATAAAAAGTTAGTAAAAGTATGTCCCATGTAATAGTTGGGATATACTTGTAATAAAAATTAGGTGTGGCCGGGTGCAGTGGCTTATGCCTGTAATCCCAGCACTTTGGGAGCCGAGGTGGGCGGATCACCTGAGGTCAGGAGTTCCACACCAGCCTGGCCAGCATGGTGAAATCCCGTGTCTACTATAATACAAAAATTAGCTGGGCATGGTGGTGCATGCCTGTAATCCCAGCTACTTGGGAGGCTGAGGCAGGAGAATTGCTTGAACCCAGGAGGTGGAGGTTGCAGAGCTGAGATCACTAGCCACTGCACTCCAGCCTGGGTGACAGAGTGAGACTCCGTCTCAAAAAAGAAAATTAAAAATTATGTGTTGTTTATCTGAAATTCAAATTGAGCTGGTTGACATACACACACACTCGTGTGTGTGCGTGTGTGTGTGTGTGTAATATATAGAGAGATGTGGAACATATATCAATATAGCAACTCTATCATTTTATTGAAGATGACCAGAGACTAAAATAAAGCAAGATAAAAGAATAAAAGCCATACAAATTGAAAAGGAATGACTAAAATACTGTCTGTATTCACAGATGACATTGTTGCATATTTAGAAAATAACAATCTCAAAAAAGCTACTAGAAATAATAAATGAGTTTAGCAGGATCACAGAACACAAAATGAATAAAAATAAATCGAATTTCTATACAGCAGTGATAAGAGTTGAGAATGGAAAATTTAAAAAATTATTAATGACAGTAACACAAAATGAAATATTTAAATAAAAAATCTATCAAAATATGCACAAGACCTCTGTGGTGAAAACTATAAAACACTGATGAAAGAAATTCAAAAAGACAAAGGTGAAAAAGGTGAAAAAGGTGAAAAAAAGTAATTATATATAAAAAGAGTCTTTTCAACAGAAGGAGCTGGAACAATTGGACGTCTACATGCAACTAAAGACAAATAACTGGCTGGGCGTGGTGTCTCATTCCTGTAATCCCAGCACTTTGGGAGGTCGAGGCAGGCGGATCACGAGGTCAGGAGATCGAGATCATCCTGGCTAACACGGTAAAACTCCGTCTCTACTAAAAATAAAAAAAATTAGCAGGGCGTGGTGGCACGTGCCTGTAATCCCAGCTACTGGAAAGACTGAGGGAGGAGAATCACTTGAACCCAGGAGGCAGAGGTTACAGTGAGCGGAGATCGCCACTGCACTCCAGCCTGGGTGACAGAGCAAGACTCCGTCTCAAAAAAAAAATAAAATAAAATAAATAAGGCAAAGAACATTTTCCTATACCCGCATCAAATACAAAAATTAACTCCAAGGAATTATACACCAAAACGTAAAGCCTAAAACTATAAAACATCCAAAAGGAAACAGAGAAAATGGTATTTTTGACATTGAAGAAGGCAAATAGTTTTTAGATATGACACCAAAAATATGATAAATGGAAGAAAAAATAATATTTAGACATCATCACACTTAAAACCTGCTGTTCTTTGAACAACATTGTTAATAGAAGGAAAAGTAAATACATAAATTTTGAGAAAATATTCATGGAAAATACCTCTGCATATATATTCAGACTATACAGAGAACACTCAAACATAAACGATACGAAATCAAATATCCAGGTAAAAGCAATGGGAAAAGGATTTGAACAGACATTTAACCAAAGATGAGATACGTATGTAGAGAGCAAATAAACACATAAAAAGAAAATCAACATGGTTAGTCATTAAGGAAATACAACTTAAAACTACAATGAGATACCACTATACACCAATTACGATGGAGTTCTAAAAACTGACAATACCAGCTGCTGGTGAGAATGTGAAATGACGGGCTCATACATTGCTGGTGAAAATGCAGAATGGTTTGACCACTCAGGAAAAGAGTTTAGTAGTTTGTATAAAGTTTTACAAACTCTTTTTTTTAAATTATTTTATTATTATTATATAGTTTTAGGGTACATGTGCACAATGTGCAGGTTAGTTACATATGTATACATGTGCCATGCTGGTGTGCTGCATCCATTAACTCGTCATTTAGCATTAGGTATATCTCCTAACTCTTATTTAAAAGCTTTATAAAAATTTTATATATATAGATAAAGTTACATTTAGCATAGAGTTTAACAATCTCACTATTCATTATATGACAAAGATAAAAAGTCATATTCACACGAAAAGCTGTATGTGCACTGCATGTTTTTAAGGCTTTATTCATAATCACCAACAAATGGCAATAATCTAAATGTCCTTCAGTTGATGAGTGGATTAAACGAACAACTGTTACATTCATGCAATGGAATATTATTCAGCATTAAAGAAGAACAGATATTAAAGAAGAACAATATTGCTGAACAAAGCAATATTGTTGTATTAAAAATGTAGTATGCTAAGTAAAAGAAACAAGACTCAACATCATATTCTGTACCATTTCATTTATGTGGTATTTTGGAAAAAACAAAACTATCTAATCAAAAAAGTTTAGTGGTTGCCAAGGCCTTAGGATGGGAAAGTAGATTGCCTACAAAGGGGTTCATAGGAACTTTGAATGTGCTCAAGATGATTCTGTCTTTTGCTGTGTGTAGTGGTGGTAACACACATTTATACATTTTTTAACACTCATACAACAGTAATGGCTGACTTTTTTTCATGTAAATTATACCACAAAAAATAAAAGTGAGCTGGTAGACTGTAAGAAAGATTGAAAAGGGAAAAATAATACCATTATAGAGGTGAAAGATATATTTCAGTAAACAAAACATTAGATCATCAGGTTGTAGAGGCAGATTTGAGAAAATTATATAAAATGAAGTGAAATAAACAATGGTACATAGAAATTACAATGATTGGACACTAGATAAAAGAGATCCAACATACAAAAATGGGTTCTTCTGAAGAATAAAGCTGAAAAGGGAGAAGAAAAAAGATACCTGTTCAAATATATTAGAAGAAATGTTTTCTGAATTCACAATGCAAGTCTACAGATCTAAAGAGCTTTCATTTCCAGTTTGGAAAAACAAAAACAAAACAAAGACTGATAAAGTCAATTCTGGTGAAGTCATTTAATTTCAAGGCTAAACTATGAGCAATTAAGCAGAAAAACGAATCACCTAAAAAGACCAATATTATCTTGGCTTTGTCTTCTCCACCACAATACTAAATTCCTGTAGACAGGAGATCAATGTCAACAAAGATCTGAAGGAAAGAATGTCTCAAGAATTTTATCATCAGATGAGGTTTTCTTTAACTTCAAAGGCACCGAACTGACACCAATAATCCTTTTTGAAAAAAAAAATAAAAGGGTGCTATTTGAAGATGAAATTCAACCAATCATGAAATGAAATAAAATAAAGAACTGAACACTGGAGGCTTTATGACAAGAGCTGAGAGTGAACCTGGAGTTATTTAAAATATAAAATCAAGACTAAATATACAATATGCTATTAATATACTCTCAACCATGCTGACAATTTAAAAATACATCTACAACTAACAAAAATAAAAAAATATGAGGCCAGCTTGTGTAAGAATATTTAATTGAATTTATTATTTTTCTTAGCAGGGAGACAAACCTACTGCTCAAGTTGAAATGCGTAATTACCAAACACAAATGTTCCTAACACCCAAATGATTTTTATTTTATTTTAAAAGTGTCCTTTAAAAATTTCTTAAATGAGCTGGACACAATGTCACATGCCAATAGTCCGGTTACTTGGGAGACTGGGGCAAGAGGACTGCTTGAGCTTGGGGAGTTAGAGGCTGTTATGCACGTGATCATGCCTGTGAATAGCCACTGCACTCCAGCCTGGGAAACCTACTGAGATCTCATCTCTAAAAAGTAAATAAAATATAAATATCTTTTAGGAAATGATAAAAAAATTCTCATAGGTGAATAAACATTTACTAGATATTTAACCACTATTTCAATTTTATTCTTTTTTTCTGTGATTCAAATAAAACAAAATGTCATTTATTGAAACACATGTGCATTATGTTCTGTCTTTGAAATTTTTTATTTTTATGAATAATTCTGTCTATTCATCTATCAGCCCATGCAAATATAGGAAGACAGAGATATCCAGAATGATCTCCAGCAAATGTTGAGTTTCAATTTCTGGGTAATGGGAAATGAGGGTAGTTCTTGATGTATTGTTTGTATTATTCTGTGTTGCTTGAGTTTTTTCATAATGATCTTTTTTTAAGATAAAGTAATAGTGTAAAAATGATAGGAAACATTTTTCTTTGTATTATACGTAGTTAAATTAAGAGGCTTCATCAAGTGATCCTATAAGACATCTTCATTATTTTGGTTTTGTATTTTTAGGCAAGTTTCTGTTTAATATTATCACGATGATTATGCTAGATAATAGTATGAGGAAGTAGTATTTGGAAAATAATTTTCTTCCACATGAAAAACTTAGGGTTTATTAATGATGCCTGGAGAGCATTGCTTAGCATGATGGTGAGACAGTGTTTTGGCTCAGAAGGAAAGAGTGTCTTTGTCAGTTATGATGTCTGTCATCACTGGAAGAGGCAGTACACATAAATTTACTTGAGAAACAGAATATATGTAGATTATTTTACATGTGTATTTATAAAGTCTCTAAGGTTCTGAAGAATATTTTGTGAGGTATGCCAGTTATGGTGTTTAGGGTATGCTACCCCAAAATATAACATCTTAGCATTTGAGAAAACAGCAGAGGTAGGAAGGTCAATCTCACCTTCTCCCACCCTTCTCACCTAAAGCAGGCCATAAAAGAATTCTCTGACCTTCATCTGAATGAGGGTTGTCAGGCCCTCATTAATATCCTTATCTCTGAAGACACCGGATGCCTAGAAGAATCTGAAAAAAAACAAGCCTTGTTAAGTTGTCCCCAGTCTATTATAATGAGTTAAGACCACTCATACAATCACACTTTATAGCTGTCTACCCTTCATCAAACCTAAGCATAAAAATGCACGAGTTTACCTCTTTCTTTAGGTCTTCATTTCTGAAGGCTCCCGTGTCACATAAAACTTACATTAAAATGTGTATGCTTTTCTTTTGTTAATCTGTCTTTTGTCATAGGTGTCTTAGCTACAAGGCTAGTCATGGGTGAGAAAAGAAATCTTTTCTGCCCTACACCAGTATCAAAATAAATCATAGTAGTTTTAGATCAATGAAGGAGCATTAAAGAGGAACCGCACATCATCTTAAAGAAGATCAAAATTGTCCTGAACACACTGTTAGTAGAAATATGGATATTAAAGGTGCTATTGGTGAGGGCTCAGCAGGAAGTTTTCCATGCTATGTGAAAGGGAAGGAAGAGACATCTTTGCTGTATGGCAGCAGAAAGCTGAACAGAATTGTCCTGCAGTTATGGGGAAAGCATAACTTGTAAGAGGTGAACTTGGATAATTAGTTAAGGAGATTTCAAAAAAAAATTCACATTTGAAAGCTTCTAGTTCCTTCATGCTGTTCACAGTAAAATGTAAGAAAATGTAAGAAGAGAGATATATTGAGAAAAACCTTTTAAATAAAAAGAGACCAAGACTTGATGATTTGGGGAATTCTTGGCTATCCAGGTGGCAAAAGACAAAAAATTAAAAGTTTTATTATTATTATTATTATTATTATTATTATTATTATTATTATTATTATTTGAGGCAGTGTCTTGCTCTGTCAACCAGGCTGGAGTGCAGAGGCGCAGTCATGCCTCACTGCAGCCTCAAACTCCTGGGCTCAAGCCATCCTCCCACCTCAACCCCCTGAGTAGCTGGGACTGCAGGTGCACACCATCATGCCTGGCTAGTTTTTTGTATTTTTTTGTAGAGACAGAGTTTCTCTGTGTTGTCCAGGCTGGTCTTGAACCCCTGGGCTCAAGCAATTTGCCACCCTCAGCCTCCTAAAGTGCTAGGATTACAGGCATGAGCCACCATGCCGGGCCTACAGGTTGTTTTTTCTTTTTTAACTAAAACCTCAGAAACATCAAAATATCAGCTTGTTGAGTCACACAAAGGGCTCTTTGAAGAGACTGAGGGTGTGCCCCACACATCCTCTTAAACCAGAGGGCCTTTAGGAAGATTGAGGGGGTAGTTCATCTCAGCAGAAGCCAAAGATAGAGAAGACATTACCTCAAAGAGATTTATGGACAGTGCTTCTAACTAATGGATTGAACCTCTGAAATTCACACAACATCCACAAGGTTCTCAAGAATTGTGCGCCAGGAAAAACTTCATGGGACAGAGAGAAGACCAAATGAAGGAAGGCTCTCAAATTCTATTGGCAAGAAGTGGAATGTGACAAAAGTACCTAGCTGCAAATACTGGACTGATTAGGGTCTTAAGATAGATGATCTGCGGTTATCTGGGTGGGCAAAATCTAATCACATAAACCCCTAAATTCAAATAAATTTTTTTGATTGAAGGCAAACAGGGGGCAGAAGGAGAAGTCAGATTCAAAGCATGAGAGAGACTTGACCTGCTGTTGCTGGGCCAAGACATATGGAAAGCACGAGAGAAACACAGGCGCTTCAGGGAGCAAAGACCAGGCTCCATCTGACAGCTCTCAAGTAAACACTCCATCTGACAGCTACCAAGTAAAGAGGACCTCAGACCTACAACCAAAAGGAACGGAATTCAGCCAAACACCTGAATATCAGTGGAAGAAAATTCCTCTTCAGGGTCTCTTGTAAGGAATGCAACTCAGCCAGCACCTTGAGTCCAATCCTCTGAAAGCATAAGGTGAGGCCCCCATCAGGTCCAAACCATAGACACTGTGAGAAAAAATGATATTGTTTGAAGCTACTAAGTTTATGTAATAAATCATATCAGGAACAGAAAACTAATATAGCCCCATATGATTTTTATAACAAGAAGAAATGTTTTTTAACAAGCTGAAAGAGAAACTTTCACTAGGACTGCACAGAAGGGCACACCAATATGAGATTCAGAAGGTGACCTATAACTGCTTAAAGCAATTTAATCAATTAAGAAGGCAACATAGTAACAATTTTTAAACAATTTTATTTCATTGACAGAGAAAAACCCTATTTTCATCCACTGACTTTGTTAGCTGTTGCAAATTAAAATAGTAAAACTTTTCCATATTTGGTATTATGAAAACCACAGGTGGTAGCAGTCTCTCAGAGGACCTCCCCCCCCCGCCACCCCCCGCAATGTTTCCATATTCTGGTGTTACTTCCCTGTTTAATCCCTTCCTACATTGTACCAGAGTTGGTCTGTGTGACCAATAAAACATGGCAGAAATGATGGCGTGTCACCTCCACTATTAGATTATAAAAGGCAATGCAGCTTTTTTTCATGGACTGTCTCTCGCTCCTGCTCCCTTTGTTCTTAAAGAAGCCAGCTGCTGTATTACGAACAGTCCTATGGAGATACCTTTGCAGTGAGGAACCGAAGTCCCCAGCCACTGGTCACATAAGTGCACTTAAAGTGGATCACCAGCTTAGCCAGACCTCCAGATAACTGCAACATTGGCCCACATCTTCAGTGCGAGCCGAGTGGAGGCGCTGAGCCGGAACCAGCAGCTGAGCCGCGCTTGGATTCCTGACCTACAGAAACAGAGTGAGATAAATACTTGTTGGTTTTTGTCACTAAGCTGGCGTAATTTGCTGCATAGCAATAGATAACTAATGTACCCCAGTGGTCAAAAAAGATTATCCCTGCCCCAAGCAATTATCCATGTAAAATAAGCATTAAACTCAATAGGTTCTACCACAGGACTTCTCTTAAAAATCGAAATCAAGAGTTAATAAGTTCGGCATAAAATCAAAGAAATTAACTTAGGTTTTAGGAAACTCATAAAAGTCAACACATAATTACCACTAGACTCCACTGGGGCAAAGATCATAGCCCGTGTCCAGCACTGTCTACTGCTTAACTTCATGTCTGCCACACAAACATACACAAAGTGTTCTAATAACATTTTTAAGAATAACTGATCAGATGAAGGCATAAATTAAAGGAGGTGGATAACACACAAGTTGTGACCTATTGTTGCTTTTTAAATAAGCCATAATAGTTATAGTGAGTGCCCTTTCCTTGGCAAAGGTTTAAATAATTTTTGCTTTTTTATCTATGTGCTTTTTGGCCTACCCACCCAAGATTTGGCAGCAACTCACAACTCTATTTATCATCGATTGCTACTGATCTAGGTCACCTAAAAAAATCCCAGGTGTTTTAAAGAAAATGAATAAGAAGACCAACAAGTGATGGTGAGCAGGACATTCAGGGTTTCATAAAAAAAAAACAGTGAGCCTACCTGAAAATGGCATTGAACATCTGAAAATTTGGGTGGTGATCTCTCATGTTGCTCCCATTTGAAACTTTGTGATTAAAATAATCACTTCAAATTGCACCTTGCGGATACACTTTGCAGGTGAGCCTTGTGGAATAACGATGAGGCCAATGCCGTACTGAGTCTTCACTATCACTCAAAGATGAGTTTCCTAAGCCTCCTCTAACTGCCTCTGTCACAGGAACACACGCATCAGGAGTTACTTTGGGTTTTGCCTC
Source organism: Homo sapiens (assembly GCF_000001405.40). Lineage (NCBI taxonomy): Eukaryota > Metazoa > Chordata > Mammalia > Primates > Hominidae > Homo > Homo sapiens. Next base: position 103,352,924 of record NC_000002.12, on the reverse strand, counting down.
TTGGCTCTTTAAATCAAAGCTTATCAAGGAAGTTTGTGCCTGTGGTGTCATTGACACCTCTGCCAACTATTTTTTTTTTTCAATAGACCAGTAGCAGGAGGAGAAATAAGTAGGGCTCAAACTCATTAAAACTGATTGCAGAGGCACCTGCTAAGTAAGCGCTATCAATACCAATGACCTTTGATCAGATCTCTGTGTTTTCTGCGACAGTTCTATGAGTGGCAGATGGTACCATTAGGAAAGAAAGCAAGAGAGTCACTGGGAGAAAGGCAGGGCATAAAGCATTTGCAACAACATGCTTCAGCGACAACAAGCTCTCACTGCTATTTTAGCCACCAAACACCCCAAAGGCAGTAGATTCATGGGGGGGAAATCATGAAAATATGTTGTGGCAAATGGAATTTATCCTTTAATCATTGTCTATTTCCTCTCTGCCCTATTATAATTCTCTATCTATATGTCTACATATCTAAATATTTTGCTAAGTGGGAGGAGGTTTCAATGGAATAAAATTGCACAGCTGTGCTCTTGGAAAATTGCTTTATATATAATAATGAATAAGCTCCTTTTAAAGTTTGGTTATTTAAATCAGACAAGCCATCTAACATTTCATTACTTAGTGGAACCTTTTATAAACCCTATGATATAAATAACTAGGCAATAACAATCACACAGATACATTTCTTCCTAAAACTAGATTCAAAATGTTGCAAATAACTGGTTAGTTTTCATGAATATGTGTGTGTATATGTGGGTGAAGAGTGAAAAAAAATCTGAAAAAGATAAATTCAAATTTAAAAAGAGATAAAGTCAAATTTGTTGCCTTGGTTATTTGGCTGTATTGTGCTTATGTGAGTAGAGTGATGAAGTCAGAGTTTAATATGATCTTAACTAAACCTTTATTGCATTAGTTACCAAAATACTGGAATTCCAGTGAGTCTCCTGTCTTAAATAAGGTTGCCAGACAAAAGAGAGAACATAGTTAAATTTCAGTTTCTGATAGATAACACACAACATTTTTGTATAAGCATATCCCAAACATTATACAATATATACTTATTACATGAGATATTCTAAAAACAAATCCGTGTTTATCTGAATTCCAAATTTAAATGGGCTTTCTGTATATTTGCAAAATGTGACAGCCCCATCTACCAATTCTTGTAGGCCATAGCTTATTGGATTTACATAACTACTGATAACTTGTTATACCCATATATTTGCTGTTTAACAGACAGATTTTTAAGGTTATTTCCTATTCATAAATGGTTTTTATTTTCAATTTTTTTCTTCCAAATTTGTATACTTTCAAAATACAATTTTTCAAAATACATCATATGGATGAAAAGACAACCTGAAATGAATGACTAAAAGTATTGATTTCATGTTGAAATTAAATATTACCAAAGCGTTTATTTATTATGATACTGCTTAATAATAATAATCTGTAAAAACAAGAAAGCGGTATCACAGCATGTTCTGTCACAGCAAGATAAATATGTGAATTTCTGTATGGATTCTCCAGCTAACATTCTCGAGGTTGCCCAATCCTTAGAAATCTAAGCCCACACAATTGTCCCATTTCCAAGGCCGATGTGGCCTCCTAGCAGCACTAAGCAGAGTCGCCACCACAATACCCCTGTGAGTGACGTTGAAGTATCTGTACTAAGTTGACATTCAAGAAAATATTTTCCCTTAATCTTACAATGTTGTACTGTACTAAATGTGAAGAACATGAATGATACTTAGGAACACAAAGGATGCCTTCCTTTAAATACGAAGTAGCATACATCACTGAAATACATAGTGTGGTTTAAAAAAATATTCCCCTCAAGCCAAGGGAGAGTATCATATAAATTTTAGGAGCCCCTGTTAACATCTTCATCTAGCTACATTTAAGGACTATTCATGATTGTGTATCAAGGGATTGTGTTTAAGTCAGTAATAGAAAACTAGGAGGTATTTATCTCTCTGAAGACTTTTTATTTTAAAGTACTAATAACAGTTAAAACTTGGAAACTAATTGTTCAAATATTAGAGAATATTTAAATTGATATTATAAACTTCTTAAAAACTACTAATTTAACCAAAAATAAAATACTTATTTAGGAATAGGCGATGAGAAAATGCAAAATACAAAATTGCATTTGACTAATAAATGCAAAATTTTGCATGAATAAAACAAGTTCTGAAAGATTATGGGCAAAATAATTTATATTTGCTGAAGTTGAAGAATTATAGTTAAATGTTTTATTTCTTATAGTTTAAGCTCTAGCCATGTTTTATCATATTAGTTTTGGAGTTAATAATTATTTTTTGAATTATGTTTTCATGGCCTATGTAGTATTGCTGGAAACTACATTTACATATTAAATATCACCTTAAAACAAAACAGTGGCTTCCAAAATATATTTCAGAGTTATTTTCATCCTTTAATGTATTGTGATAATTCAGTGTAATGTCCTTTGAAATGTATGCTTTCTGTGTCTATTCCATGTGCCATTTAATCCCAACAATGCCTCATTAAAGAGTCATAAATAAATAAGAAATCTATAAGCACTATCATTTTATATTGTATATTTTAGCTTGAATAAAAAAGCCCTTACATTAGTTGTATCAGAAAATCTGTAACCAAGTGTTTGTGCTTACAGGGTAAAATAGCATTAGCTAATAATTATTTACTAAAGAATGTTGTCAGTCTTCAGTATAATGGAACCAATAATACTAGAACTACAAATTAATGTAGCAAAGCAATGATTTTGAAATCATAGCAACATTTACAAGTTAGAATATGTGTCATTATAATCTCTGTGAGACAAAATACACTATTGAACCGATAATTGTGCATGCCAAACAAAAAAGGTGTTACGGTAAGTTTAAGAATACCAGATAACTAAAAATAGCAATATATTATACCAGATTTAGAGCAAAGAGGCATGTAACAGGTAGATGTACAAGCTAAGATCTGCCTCAAATTTTAGTGCAGTTCTGGGTTAATGTTTATTATGAAGTCTAGTTGATAGTCAACGCTAGAGACCCCTGTGAGAGTAGCTATGCAGCCTTTCCTCTAGAAATATGCATCTTTCCAAAGCATCAGATGGTTCAAAGTTAGGTGTTAGAGAGAAAAGGACCCTACTGCATGACTCTTACAAGGTGATTAATTTCTGACATTAGGCTCTTTATCCCAACTCATTTCTTTATTCTCCTCTCATGGAGTTTAAAGAATCTCAGTGTTTGCATGCTTTATCTGATGTCTCTGATAATTTTTTCTAGATCTCTATTTCAGAGTAGAGTTTTGCTTCAAATTTTTTGAACGTCACTAGTTGTCTCTTTCATTGACTGGCTTTAGAAGCCACAGTTCACTGTGTTCCATTCCCTGGAAAAGATCGTTTAAGAATGTCAGCTGGGATCCATAGCATAGTATACAATGAGTCAAAAATCACACCAAGTATAACAGAATAACTCTTGTCTTGATTGCAGTGGTGGTTACATGAATCTACACGTGTGATAAAATGTCATAGAACCATATACACACATTGAACCAATGTGAATTTCCTGGTTTTATATTGTGCTATACTTATTTACTTTGTAAGCACTGGGGAGGACCACGTGAAGGGTACAGGAGATCGTCTTGTCCTATCTTTGCTACTTCCTGTGGATCTACAAGTATTTGAAAATAGAAGGTTAAAAATAATCACACTACATAAATTATGTTTTTTTCTTTACAAATATCATGACTTTGGCTATTTTTCCTTCCTAGCAGGCTCCTGCACTCCAAGAGTAGTCCTCATTATACTAATTAATCAGTTTTCACTACTCCCAACCACTTTTCCCTTCATCTGTTCAGCTGCAAGAAGGTGGGGACATCCAACATGAAACATAGAAGTAGTCCATATATGTTGAAATCAGAAAGTAAAATGCTTGAGAATCAAAAGTTAAAGAAAAGATAATAAATTGAATTAGACAAATAAAAATTTTGAAATAAAATACAAAAGGAAAAATAACTTGGGAAATTAAAAGATGCATATAATTGTGAAAATTCAGAGAAGAGAAAATTTCAGATTTGTAAGTGTCCCAGTTTATCTAGTCCATTGGCCCCGCATGGACAAAACTGTGGAATTGTTTTACAAGAAATGTTAACATCTATCTAATAATTAAAATTACTGAAAGCCAATAGGTAGGCCAGGAGGTCAGAAAACTGGTAGACCAAAGACATATTTGAAGAATTTGAAATAAATTGTATCCTGAATTTACAATAATAGAAGGTCAGACAAACCTGGGTTCAAATCCTGGTGACTCACTCACTGTATAACCTTAGGCATGTTATATAGCACACCTTTAGGCCTCATCTATAAAAATGGAGTAATTGAATACATACTAAGCACTTAGTGCCTGAAAAAATGTAATGCATTCAATAGATGTATCATAATATCATTAATTTGAGCAGTGTTTCCCAAATTGTATCATTCATTGCAAGAAACTAATTGTCTCACTAATATAGATTGGTGTCCTACAAAAAACAAACAAAACAAAACAAACACCCATACAACTGTTACCTTAATTAAAAACCATAAAGCATCTAATATACTGTGTTCCCCTCCTGAATTTTCACCACACAAACTAGAATATTAAAATTACTGAAGTAAATAATCTGTGTAACTTTAACACAGCATTTCCTGAGCTTATTTAATTACACAGCTGTTTAAGAACCTCTTGTTCATCTTTTGAGGCATGGCCCTTGTTCAAAGAGCTCTGAAAGATCATTAAGGACTTAGGTTTTTCAAACGTTTTTAGCAGCAGAACTCATTTTTTATAACTCTTCTATATAAAACATATAGAGGCAGTGAATACTTTCCTCGGGCAGTTAAAATCTTCATTGTCTGATAGATTGTATTTTGTTTGCACAGTACCTAAACCAACTTAACCTGTCAAGGAAACAGTTTGAAAATCCTGATGTAAATATCCCTGTGCTTCAGAAAGAGCATTCACCTGAATCAGTTATTTTCAAATTCAAGTCTACAGATACATTCTCCAAGATATTTTAACATATTTAAAAATATTTTAAATTTAATTTTAGTTATTGTCTTAAAAATCAAATATTCTGAATCATCTGTGGTCATCTCAGGTATTCAGGAGAATTGTGTGGGTAAAAGACCAGTGGGTTATTTTAGTATCAGCTCTTGCATGGAAAGAGCTTGGAAACCATCACTTCCATTATTACTATCGAAAGCTAGAAAACTAAAAAACAATTACTTCTTTTAAATTTATACATAACTTAGGTTACTACAACCCTAAAGTCTAGAGCCATAGGCACATCCTGAGAGATACAGGATCCATTATTTGCCTGTATGGAACTGAAGCCTCTGGAATTCATGAACTGGTAGAAACACATGAAATTGTGAAAAAGTACTGGAGGTTGCATGTGAACTAGCATGGGAGTGAGAAGCTCCAGGGGGCTGCCGACGTGGAGGGGTGGTGGTGGCAGGGGCGCTATACTTTCACAGACTTTCTCCACAGGACCCCTACCACATTCTCATAATGAAGATCTGAGAAGAATCTCCTCATTGCCCCGACTGAGGAGGAGAAGAGTAACCATTGTGAGGCACTCTCAAACTTTTCTCAATACCAGAAGCCCAATCTCCAAGAAGGAGGACTCCTTCAGAGGACAATTCTGTTTGAAACTTCATCCCAGAGGAAATAAATTCTGCCTCACTCCAGCAAAATCCAGAATTTCTGTCTCACCAAAGGGAGGAAAAAAAAAACTCAAGAACAAAAATATAGTCAACCAGGAGAGGGTTTCAAAGAAATAGAAACAACAACAACAAGAAGAAAAAAACCCACTACAGCCATGGAAGGAAATGGGTAAATGGGGAAGAGGGTAGACCACGTATAAGCGACAGAAACAGTTGCGAAGATCTCACTCACCCCTGAGACACAGGCCCACTGAAAGAATGAGACTTTAATTAGCATATGACCTCACCAGCAAGCCTCCAGAATAATAATAGAGAGCTAAAAGAGCTGGAAAAGGCACAACCTTTCTCTGGAGAACAATAAAAACGCCCCAACACCATGAGAGGAGATAAAAACAATAGAAGATTATAAAATCTCTGGTACTTATAGCTACAACAAACATGAAACACAGTCCAAATTTCCATACATATTAACATAAATCCTCATACTAAATGTCTCTGTAACTCAGTACCCATTACCTAATACAACTTGTTCAGTTTTCAAAAAATTTGTACAAGGCATATCAAAAGACAAAACAAAAGCAAACACAAAATCACACACAATCTGAATTGCCAAAACAAGTGTAAGGATCAAATTTACATAAAACACAGATGTTGGAACACAAACAATTTAAAATAAGTATGATTATTTTAAGGGTGCTAATGGAAAATGGGTGCAATATGCAAGGCTAGAAGGGCAGTATCAGCAGAGATGGAAACTATCAGAAAGAACCAAAAGAAAGTGCTACAAATTAAAAACCAGGTAGCTGAAGATAAGAATGACTCCAATGCATTAATTAGTAGAGTTAACACAGTTGAGGAAAAGAATCAGTGCAATAGAAAATAAGTCAATCAAAACTTCAGAAACCATAAGGAGGAGAAGCATACCAGAAGAAGAAGAAAGAGGGAATAAAACTGAAGAAATATTTGAAGTAATGATAGTTTAAAAAACTCTTCAATTTTAATGACAGGTAGCAAACCACAGAGCTAGAAAGCTCAGAAAACAAAGATGTTAAATATGAAACAAACAAACCAAAAACATAAAAACAAAACCAACCTAAGTTATCATATTTAAACTTCAGAAAACTAAAGGCAAAGCTAAAATCTTGAAGAGAGAGAAAAACAACTTACCTATACAAGAACAGGGATAAGTCTTACATGAGGCTTTTCTTCAGAAATTATTCAAACAAGAAGAGAGTGATGTGAAATATTTAAATAACAGAAGGAAAAAAAACCCTACAAACCTAGAATTCTATATTCAGTAAAATGAATATTCAAAAGTGAAGAAGTAAATATTTTCTCAGACAAATGCAACTGAAGGAATTAATTAATTGCCAGTAGACTTGTTCTTTAGATAACGTTAAAAACAGTTATTTAAGCAGAAACAAAATAATATAGGCCAAAAGCATGGCTGTGTGTCACAAAAGGAAGGGCAGCTGAGAAGGAATAAGTTAAGATATAAAAATATTTTATTTCATTATTCATAATTGATATAAAAGATAATTTTTAAACAATAATAATAATTTACTGGGTAATTATAGAATTTGGGTAAGAGAAATGAAAGCATCACCAGAAGGGATAGAAATATTAGGAATATTCTGTTATAAGGTAACTGTACTAAATATTAAGCACTATAGTGTCAGTTGACAGGTGGATTTGACATTTAATATTTAACATTTAAAAATATTTATAAATGGTAGGACAAACAATGAACAATTTTAAAAAATTAGTAACACAGTAGATAATATAGAATTATATAATCAATTAAAAGCACAAAAGGCAGAAAAAAAGAAAAGAACAAATGAAATCAATAGAGAATACTTACATAGATGGTAGATTTTAATCCAGTTATATTTATAATCACTATAAGTGATTATAAGCCATGAAGTGTAAGTGGTTTTAAGATAACATTTGAAGGAGCTTATCATATTTATTTAAAACAAGAACAATAAAATCCAACCATATGCTGTCTCTAAGAAACTCCTTTAAATATGAAGACTCAGATAGGTTAAAAGTAAAGAGATGGAGAAAAATATACCATGATGACATCGATCAATAGCTATATTCCAACAAGTAGACATCACACAAAGAAAAATCATCAGGGATCAAGAGGGGCATTACAGAATAACAAAAGTGTCAATACTCCATGACATACAATCCTAAACATGTACAATAAGTCCTCAGTTAATGCCATCCATAGGTTCTGGGAAACCACTATTTTAAATGAAATGATAGATAACAAAACCATTTTTTCCCCTCATCAATGTTATAGCAAAATGACATTGATGGAAATGATATTATGTGGAGACCTGCTCTATGTTGTGTTGCAGTTTCCAAGAACCTGTGGACTTCACTAAATATGGACTTACCATATACACCTAACAACATAAAATATCAACACATAAAAAGAAAATTGAAAGAACTACAAGGAAAAACAGTCAAATCCACTAATACACTTTGAGTCTCCAACATCTCTCCTTAATTACTAGAGCAAGCAGGTAGTAAGAACAAATACCCTGAACAGCAATAGCAAACAATGTGATCAAATTGACCTTTTTAGAATGCTCTGTCCAACAACAGTAAAATACACATGGAACAGTCACTAAAATAGATCACATTCTGGACCATAAAATACATTATAATAAACTTAAAAGAATAAAAATCATACAAAGTATATTATGAGGCTGCAAGAGAATTAAGCTAGAAATTAATAACAAAAAATATATCTAAATTTTTGAAAATATGTGGAAATTATTCACTTTAAAATAATTATGGATTAAAGAAGTCTTAAGATAAATTACAAAATATTTTAACTAAATAAAAATTAAAATACAACTTATGGTTTGAGGATGAAGTGAAAACAGTATTTAGAGGAAAATTCATAGTGCTAAAATGCACATTATAGAAAAAAAATCCGAAATTAATAACATATGTTTCCCTGTAAGGAAATTAGATTAAGAACAAATTAAGCCTATAGAAAGCCAAATTAAATGAAGCAGAAAAATTAGGTAATTTTTATTAAGCCAACCAGAAAGAAGAAAATTATTAATATTAGAGCGGGAACTAATAAAACTGAAAACAAACAAAAAAACTGGTGAAAATCAACAAAGCTGAAAGCTATTTCTTTGACAAGATTAATAAATTTGATAAACTTCTTTCCAGGCTAACCAAGAAAAAAACATAGAATTCATAATCAGTATAGAGGTTATTGATCCCCTGGCTCAATAATCAGTGAATTATTACAGACAACTTTGCACCACAAACCTATTAACTTAGATGCAACTATCAGTTTTTTGAAAGATACTAACTACTAAAATTAATTAAAAGGGAAATAGAAAACAAGAGTAGTCTTACATCTATTAATGATTTTAAATTAGTAGTTAAAAACAAAAGACAAAACCGGGCACGGTGGCTTACGCTTGTAATCCCAGCACTTTGGGAGGGCGAGGTGGGCGGATCATGATGTCAGGAGTTCTAGACCAGCATGGCCAATATTGTGAAACCCTGTCTGTACTAAAAATACAAAACTTAGCCGGGTGTGGTGGCACGTGCACCTGTAGTCCCAGTTACTTGGGAAGCTGAGGCAAAAGAATTGCTTGAACCCAGGAGGCGGAGGTTGCAGTGAGCCGAGATCGTGCCACTGCACTCCAGCCTGGGTGACAAAGCAAGACCCTGTCTCAAAAAAAAAAAAAAAAAAAAACCACCACCACAACAACAAAAACGAAATCTAAAAACAAAACAAATAAAACCCACCATGTCCAGGGGTTTTCTCAGGTAAATTCTACCAAACACTTAAAGAAATAATATAAATTCTATACAATATCTTTGAAAAACAGTAAAAGAGGAAGGAATACTTACCAGCACATTTTAAAAGACCTACATTTGATCGGGCACAATGGCTCATGCCTTTAATCCCAGCACTTTGGGAGGCCGAGAACAGCAGATAACTTAAGGTAAGGAGTTTGAAACCAGACTGGCCAACATGGTGAAACCACATCTCTACTAAAAATACAAAAATTAGCCAGTCATGGTGGCCTGCGCCTGTAATTCCAGCTACTCAGAGGGCTGAGGCACGAGAATTGCTTGAACTCAGGAGGCAGAGGTTTCAGTGAGCCGAGATCAACATTTGAAAATCAATGTATGTAATTTACCACACCAACAGGCCAACGAAGAATAATCATATGATCCTATGACTAGGTGTAGTAAAAACATTTGACAAAATCCAACACCCATTCACAATTAAAAACTCTCAGAATACTAAGAATAGAGGGTATCTTGTTCAACTTGATAAGGGACATCTACAAAAAGCTCCTATAGCAAACATAAATAATAGTAAGAAATAGGCTGCTTCTCCTCCAAGATCGGGAACAAGACAAGAATGTCTTCTTTCACCACTTCCACTCAACATTTTACTAGAAGTCATAGGGAGGACAATAAAACAAAATAAATAAATATATAAAGACATAAGAAATCCACAGCTTGAGAAGAAGGAAAAAACTGTATTTGTTTGCCTGGGTAGAAAACCCCAAAGAATAAAAAATGTGCTACAAACAAGGGAGCAAGGTCACAAGATAAAAGGTGAATATACAAGTATGAACTGGTTTTCTATATACCAGCAATGAATATTAGAATTTGGATATTGAAAATAAAACACAATAAACACTTCTTTAACTCCAAAAGTATTAAAGAAATACTTATGTATAAATCTAACATAATGCATTCAGAATATATACATATACATGAAAAATTACAAAACTTTGGTAAAAGAAATTAAAGACCTAAGTAATTTTATTTTTTTAATTTTTATTTATTTATTTTTTTGAGACGGAGTCTGGCTCTGTCTCCCAGGCTGGAGTGCAGTGGTGCGTCTGGGCTCACTGCAAGCTCCGCCTCCCGGGTTCACTCCATTCTCCTGCCTCAGCCTCCCGAGTAGCTGGGACTACAGGCGCACACCACCATGCCTGGCTAATGTTTTGTATTTTTAGTAGAGACGGGTTATCACCATGTTAGCCAGGATGGTCTCGATCTCCTGACCTCATGATCCGCCCGCCTCGGCCTCACAAAGTGCTGGGATTACAGGCGTGAGCCATCGTGCCCCGCCAGACCTAAGTAGTTTTAGAAATGAGTAGAGACTAAGACTATAAACGAAGGACACTATACATAATCAATGTACTTTAGTTGGTGAAGTTGTTCCCCACAAAGATCTGAGTTAACGATTTTAAAACCACTGCACATGTAAACTGGCATTGAACAAATAAAATGGGATGGATGACGGGGAGCCAGTTCCTCGCTGTCAGGCTACGATAGAACAGGTAAGCCAGGGGCGAAAGCTAGAATGAACCATGTGGTACTAGATTAGATTTGGGAACATCAGTATAAACTCACGTTTGCTCAATATAGATGCAAATAAATATATATTTTACAAGTAGTTATAGACATATGTGTTTACGATGATTGGAATTCACATATATATGGGCTAGTTCTCTCTGTTAAGAGAGACTAGAGCAAACCCAGTCCTGGAATCTTCAATGTGTATGATTAAATCAAGAGAATGATTAAATATGGTACCTGTATCTGAGGTTCAAATACAGTAGAGCAAAGGAAAGAAAGAAGAAATAAAAAGGATAAGACTTGAAAGACACCTGCCAAGCAATCTGAGGGCAGAATCCTAGAGCTTTTGCATTTTTTCTCCACGATTTTACAGTTTTCTCACCCACACCAAATTTACCAGGGTATTTTATGAAGGACCTTTATTGAATCTTTCCAGAGAAGTCAACTTAATTTTTATAAAAACAATCACCCACTTGATTTTTATATTCAAGTTTATTGATGAATAATTATAATGGAATCAACTAATAATAAATAAATACATAAATAATGAAATGACAATAACAAGCACTACTAGCTGGGAAAGATTGGAAAGGAACACAGCCCCTCATTGATAAGGGTTCCCTCACCTGGGGCTAGCATCAGAGCAGGCTGTACAGCAAGAGAGTCCAACGGCCAGCACTCAGCAGGCCCCAGCATCTGCCAGTTTTCATAGAGCCAGTATGGAATGTCTGCTGCTATTCTGAGAAGCTGGCAAGTGGTACTGTATTCGAAAAAAAAATAGCGTAAGCAGCAAATGAAACCCATAACATCCTGGAGATTATTGCTGAGGATGAAACTGAACTTCTTTAAGTAAAAAGAGGAAGTTGATTGAAATAAAAAGATTATACGGATGAAAGCTGACAAAACAAATATGATGGTTAATGCCATGGGATGCCCAGTGGTGAAATTAGTATTTGAATCGGTTGACTCAGTGAAGATGGTGTCACTCCCCAATATGGGTGCGCATTATCCAATCTGTTGAGGGCCTAAATAGAACAAAAGGCAGAGAAAGGAGAAAAACCTCCCCTTTTCTTAGGCCTACCATTTGAACTGAAGCATGGGGTTCTCCTGCCCTCTGACTGAGATCTAAACCAGATTGTCTCTCTTGCTTCTTCAGGCCTTCAGAATCTGATTGAATTACGCCACTGGCTTTTCTCAGGTCTCCAGTTCACAGACAGCAGATCATAAGAATTCTCAGCCTCATAATTGTATGAGCCAATTCCTTCTAATCCCTTCAGATAGATAAATAGATAGATAGATAGATAGATAGATAGATAGATAGATAGACAGATAGATAGACAGACAGATAGATAGAGATGTAGTTATCTCCCATTGGTTTTGTTTCTCCAGAGAACCCTGACTGATAGAGTAAACTAATATAACAAAAATTCATCAAGGTGGTATAATAAATTTCATATATTCAATTCTGTATAAATTTCAGCTTGACCTTCTTATATGTCAAAAAGAGCCGAATAGCAGCAGTTCCATATAGTTTAACCAAAGACTGTAGTATATGTTCATGCTGTAGAAATAACTTGGTAAAAATGGAATGTTGATGTAGAAATATATGGAAGGATTCAAGATGTAAATTTCATGAGAACAGAAAGAGAACACATTTTTTAAGAAAGATGGTTTATGGTACACTTCCTGAGCAATCAAACTTTTTGAAAATATTTTCAGTTTTCTTTACTGATAAACTTTTTGTGCTCATGAAATGTTAGGTTTATATACCATACAAATTGCATATCAAACAGTGTATGTCACAATTTTTCTACAAAAACTTAAAGGATTTATTTTAATTATCTTCTGACTAGAATGTTTCAGAGAAGTCTAAGATTATCATAACTGTTATGCCATTCCAAGTAATCTGTTTTACGTTTGTTTTGTTAATTAAAAATTATTTAGTTCATTGAGAATTATTTTGTCTTTTTTGTTTGTATGGTCTATATAATTTTACTTAACTTCTATTCTTGGGTAATATTTTTAATTTGGGAAAAACTTTCTTGCTTTGAGAATTGCTTGTGCTTCTGTTGTAACTTTTTTTTTTCTTTAGGAACACATGCAAACTTTCATTCCCTCTTCCCCACATCTTTAACTTGCTTACATCTGCTTTGTGTAGAAAATTCTCACATGTCCTCTGCATTTAAGATTCAGCTGTCCACAGTGCCAGTTCTGCTCCTCAGGATTCCAGCATAGATTTTCATTTTCATCTTGACTTTTTAGTTTCCTAGTGATCTTTTACTCAGGTATCTTCTTTTCATCTCAGATTATTAACTTTTCCTCTTCAATTAAATCGGTTCACAGATTTCTGCTCTTGTTTTACCGAGGTTCTGCTTTTTTTGCATGCTACTGAAGATATCAACATGATTTATTGCTATCACATTATTATTGATCTTATTATTTTCTCTAGTTTCCATGCTAAATTATTTCCACTGATCTTTTCTTTCTTTAACTTCTCAGTATGATTTGCTTATTTTACAATGTTTTTACAAGCTACAGTTATGTTATTTTGTCTACCAGGCTTGAATAAAGTAAAATCTATCCAGACATAGCCAACAGACCTGTTGTATAAATTATTCCTATCTGAATTCTCAATCTGCTCATATTTTTCTGGATTCCCCTCCTCAGATCAGTCTATGAATAGCAGGTTAATTTTCCAGCCTCTGGACAAGTTCACTGCATTAATCAGGCTTCTATTTTTTGTAGCTGCCTTATTCTTAAATAGCCCATCTTCTAACCCACTACCTTGATTTCTGACACATTGAAGTCAGAATAAAGAATAGAAAATTATTGTGTAATACCCAGAATGTATCACTTTCAAATATCTTCCTCTTCATTCTCTTGCACTTATCCTTAACCATTTAGTGTGTGTGTGTGTGTGTGTGTGTGTGTGTGCGTGAAATATGCATTCCTAGATTCAATGTACCAGTGCTGGTCTCCCATGCCCACCCAAATATCCACTCTCCCAAACACTCAGTTGCTGCCATTTGAAAATGTTTTTTACTCTCTTTTACCACCAGGGAGTTACAGATGAAATTAGAAATTTCCATAGCACTCTGACTAGAAAAGCAACACTCAAGTCACACGAAGATATTTAATATGTTATTTAGAGAGACAGACTTTTTAGAATTTTTTAAGTATTATGGATACATAACAGCTGTAGATATTTATGGGATACGTGTGATATTTTGGTACTAGCATGTGTAATATGTAATGATCAAATCCGGGTAATTGACATATCACTCACCTTAAGCATTTATTTCTTTGTATTAGGAACATTCCAATTTCATTCTTCTAGTTATTTTGAAATATACAATAAATTACTGTTAACTATAGTCACCCTATTGTGACTATAGTTAACAACACCCTAGTGTTCTACTAAACACTAGACCTTATTTCTTCTATCTAATTGTATTTTTGTAGCTATTAAGCACCCCCCATTTATCCTCCTTCCCCCTATTATCCTTCCCAGCCTCTGGCAACCATCATTCTACTATCTATAACCATCATTCTACTGTCTGTCTCCGTGAGTTCAATATTTGTAGCTCCCACATATGGGTGAGAACATGCAATATTAGTCTTTCTACACCTGGCTTATTTCATGTAACATAATTATTTCCAGTTCCATCCATGTTGTTGTGAATGACAGGATTTCATTCTTTTTATGGCTAAATAATATTCCATAGTGAATTACATATTCTTTTCATTTCAAATTTACATACCACATTTTCTTTATACATTCATTTATTGATGGACATGCAGCTTGATTCCATACCTTGGCTATTGTGAATAGTGCTGCAATAAACATGAGAGTCCAGATATCTCTTTGATATACTGATTTTCTTTCTTTTGGATATATACCCAGCAACAAGATTGCTGAAGCATGTGGTAGTTCTGTTTTTAGTTTCGGAAACCTCCACACTGTTTTCCATAGTGGCTGTACTAATTTACATTCCCACCAACAGTGTAAAAGGTTTTCCCTATCTCCACATCCTTGCCAGCATTTGTCACTGCCTGTCTTTTGGATAGAGCCATTTTAACTTGGATGAGATGGTATCTCATTGTAGTCTGGATTTGCATTTATCTGATGATTAGTTATGCCAAACACTTTTTTATATACCTGTTGGCCATCTGTAGCCTTCTTTTGAGAAATGCCTATTCAGATCATTTGCTCATTTTTAAATTGGATTATTTGGTCTTTTTACTATTGAGTTGTTTGAGTTTCTCATATATTCTGGTTGTCAATCCTTTGTCAGATGGGTAGTTTGCTAATATTTTCTCCCATTCTGTGGGTTTTCCTTTCACTTTGTTTATTGTTTCTTTTGCTGCACAGAAGCTTCTTAGCTTTATGTGACCCCATTTGTCCATTTTTGCTTTGGTTTGTCTGTACTTGTGAGGTCTTAGGCATAAAATCTTTACCCAGACCAATGTATTAGAATGTTTCCCCAATGTTTTCTCCTCGCCATTCTGTAAGTTTCAGGTTTTAGATTTAGTATTTAATCCATTTTTATTTGATTTCTGTATATGGCCAGAGATACGGGTCTAGTTTCATTTTTCTGCATATGGGTATTCAGTTCTTTCAGCATGATTTACTGAAGGGTTTGCCCTTTCCCCATTGTATGTTCTTGGTACCTGCATCAAAAATGAGTTCAGTATAAATGCATGCATTTTTTTCTGGGTTGTCTATTCTGTTCCATTGGTCTATGTGTCTGTTTTTATGCCAGTACATGCTGTTTTGGTTACTATGGCTTTGTATTATAACTTGAAGTCAGATAATAAAATGCCTCCAGCTTTATTCTTTTTGCTCAAGATTGTTTTGGCTATTCTGGGTCTTCTGTGATTCTGTATAAATTTTAGGATTATTTTTTATTTCTGTGAGAAATGTCATCTGTATTTTGATAGGGATTGCACTGAATATTTAATAGATTGCTTTGGCTAGTAAGACCAAGATTTTTTTGAACAAGAGACCTGGAAGAAGACATAGAATCAATAAAATACCTTCCTTCTTACTTTGAGATGGGCAAGCTAGCTGTGACTTAGGCAGCAGAGCATGGGTGGATTAGCAGTTTACATTTTCAGAACGAGTGGTTTCACATGCTTGGCATTTAGTAGAAACATCTCCTAGATTTTGACAACTGATTTTTACATTGTCTTTTTATACCTAGGCCTAGGATTGAAAAACCTGTATTAGAGTAGCATTCAAAGTTATTTGAAAGCAAAAACAGAAACAAAACACTTTGCTTTCTTTGATTTTACTCATAAGCTTTTATTATAAGCTGTAAACCATAAATTTCTACTGTGCTGCTTCCATTTTTTTCTTTATATCTTTTAAAGCTCTCATTCTTCTTTCATTACTTCTGCCTTTATTTTAGCTTTTCTTTCAAATATCCTTTGCTTTCTGCTAATTCCAGGACTAACCTTGCTTTTAATCCTATCTTCTTTCATATCAACTCCAATTTTTTCCTATCTCAATTCCAATTTGTTTTTGCCTTTTCCTGCATAATAACTATTTGGAATTTCCCCCTCTTCTGCTGGCATTTCTATTTCCAGTTTCACATCATGGCTAATTAATTACACAATATATACTGAAATATTGAAAAGTCCTTAATGATCCCACAGCAGGTAGTGGCAGATTTGAATACTGTGCTTCCAGCTCTGTCCAGTCATTCATATCATCAACCTTCCAAATAAATTATTTTGAAAATACTATTCCTCTTCTCAATGGGAGCACCAAGTAGGAAGAAAAATGAAATTGGCTTCTTGGACTACTCACTAGAGAGAAATCACATAAATCATGAAATTTATTTTGGGCAATTGATCATTTGCAAGCCTGTGTTTCAGCTGGTTGTTCCTCTGTGGTATAGTACAGAGGGCTAACTTTGAGAAAGCTACCATAATTTCTTTTTTCAAGAGATTTTGGTGATTATACCAAGGCATGAAGAGTCTTGTTTACCCACACCTATATTTGGCCTTTGCTCTAGTCTATGTATAGAGAAGTAACAAGCGAGGACTGAAGCGTGAGGGAGAAGGGAGAAAAAAGCAATGACCTGTGAATTTTCCAAATGACCATTGACCACCCCTCTTATGATGGAGATTCATTTATGTTCATCTCTTAAAGCTACTCCTGCTGTTCTTTACCTCTTGACAAATTACAAGTTGTCATCGTATTGTAAATAACAGTTGGGGAATATGTAATGAAAAATCTCATGGGCTGAGCAAAGCGTCACATTATTAATTTGTCAGAAATGCTATTACCTAGAGAACCAATTTTAACATTGTAGCTTCTGCATAGCATGAGAGTGACTCACACTGAGCAGGATTTAGCAGTATCAGAAAATGTATTACCAGAGCACCACCAAAGTGATTTCTTTCAATATTGCCAATAATATCTTAATTTTGTGTTTTTAAAGATAAAAAGTCACCAGAGATTAAAAGGGCAAAAATTCTTCTGAAATGAATTTCCACTTAGAAATCTAGATTTCATGATTCATGTTTCTAGTTTTAACTCATTTAATCATATGGAATTGTTGGTATTTGATCCACAAAAAATAGTGAAGAAATTACCCTAGAATCCTGAGCACCCTCACTTCAATAAAATAAATCTGACTACTTCTCATGAAGTAGTTACTTTATCAGTTAAAAAGTGAAAAATCATACTTAGAGGTAATAAAAAGGTATGACTTGATAGGGGCAAAATTTATTAAAAAGAATTATCTGAAAATTTTAATTACAACATATGGTGTATCCTCACATTTGTGTAATATCATGGCACCCTGCATTTGCATATTAAAAGGCTAAGGTGGAAGGGCCAGTTTTGTCGTGGGCTATGTGAATGACACACCTGGTCAAACTAATCCCCTGAGTGCTATGCAAATCAGACACTGCATCCACCAGCCTCCTCATATAACTGGCTGGTTTCTGGGGTACTCAGGGGTTTCCTCTCTCAGCTTTGGAGTCCCCTCCCTCTGTCTCTGTATGGAGGATCTTCTTCCTTCTTACAAGTCGCCTATCAAACTCTCCGCCCCTTAAACCCACCCCATGTGTGTCTGTGTGGTTTTAACCAATTTGGTGCAAGACAAGAGCCCTGGTGTTCCTCCACTCATCAGAGCCATATCAATATTCTTAGTTCTCATGAAATACTTTATTTATGCTCACTAAACATATATGGCTTTGTTCTTCTGGCAATCTTTTACAATTAGTATTATAGACTCAGAGGGTACATGTGCAGGTTTGGTACGTGCTTCTGGCTGTTCTTACTCCTCAGTGCACAGGTCTGAGAAGTCATTAGCCTGACCCATTTTCCTGGATGTTCCTTAAGAGAGCTCCCTGAGAAAGGGAAAAGTGAAAGGAGGAAGAAAGAACTTACCTGTACCTGGGATATGAAACAATCTTGGCATATAGAGTTATGAGACAGTGAGAGTTGTCTAGTTACCATCGTCTTCTTCTTTTTTTTCTTCCTTAGGTTTTCAGTTGCTCTACTTATCTTCTTATTTTTAATCCAGGATTTCTACCACATCACCTAGACATATAGAGTATAAAGATTCATAATGGATGAATTGCTTTTTGTGAGCTGGAATAAGTACATATTCTCCTTTTATAAAAGTCTACTAGAATCAACATCAATATCTTGGTTGTGACACTACTATCTGATATATGTACATTGGGAGAGGTTCTTTGTACTTTGCAACTGCTCCTGAATCTTAAACTATTTCAAATAAAAGTTACATTAAAAGTCTACTCAAAAGTAGTTGTAATTTTTGCAAGAAAATTTTCAAACTGTAACCATTTGTAGCTTTTATAACACAGGTTAAATATGCCAATGTGGGTGGAACAGAGACAAAGTGAGAACCTCTCAAGAATATCCTGGAAAAAGGTAGTCTAGTTTCACTCTTGAATTAATTTAAGTTGCATGCTACAGTTTAGGAATACTTTTTGCTCTGATGTCGGTGAATATAGGAAACAGGACTTGCCTTTGGCTTCAATGCTTTACTAAAATGGTTGTAAAATATTAATGATTTTTATGTATATTTCTGTAAAACAGAGACATTAAAAACACTATGTAAATGTCATAAAATACTTTTCTCATGCTGTATCTAATTTGTAATTTCCTTTTTTTGTATGCAGGAAAGGGAAAGGAACTTTAAAATTGTATGATAACAACAACAACAAAAATGGATGTTTTCTTACCATTGTTTTTCCTTTTTATTCCATTCACTCTCTCCTCAGGAGAAAAGACATACATAAGTTAGACTGATAGAACCTCTATGACTGCTGTCTACTCATTATGAGATTATTCTGCATTTTGTAACTTTACAAAGCATAAAACTTCCAGAGGCATAATCTTTTTTTTTAAAATTTTATTATTATTATACTTTAAGTTTTAGGGTACATGTGCACAATGTACCCTAAAACTTAAAGTATAATGATAGTAAAATCTTAAGTATCACTCTTGACACAATATGTAAAACTAAGAAATTTTATTTGAAGAAAGAGAGTCTTGTGCAGGATCCAGCACATCAGTCTTTAAAGACGTGCTTCCTCTTATGTCCTAGAGAGGAAGAAAACTCATGCCCCAGCACACAAAAGAATCAGAATATTTAAGTGCCTTTTTTTAAGACTATGGTTACATTTGCTTATATAGGGAATAAATTAGGTATATTCCTTTCTGTCAATAACCTTATGTCTTTGAAATGGTTTATCACATAATTATTTCTGATGAAGAGTTGACTCAGAACTTACTAATAGTTTTTTCATAAAAATGTTGAATATGTCTGGACATAAGTCTGTAACATAGTGTTAACAGAATGTTCAAGAACATGGATATTTTAATAAAAATATAATTTAACAAAAAAATTCTTCCAAATCAGTAATTCATTTAAATAAGTCAGACTGAATGATTGTATGTATACACCCTCCAAGAAGAGAAGAAAGGTTATGTTTTTAACTCTTGAATATAAAGTAGGTAAGAATGAAAAAAGATATATCAAGACAGTGGCAAGACTTTCTGTTTCAATCCTAAATGTAAAGACCTGGGTAATTGTCACTTCAATTCTTACAGGAAAAACACATAGAAACTCAACAATTTTTCTTGCATGCATTGGAGAAGCACGAGCAAACCATCACTCGAAATCTGGGTAGACAGGCAAATCTAGAGTTGCAGCTAAGATCTATTTACTTGGAGGAGAAGCTGCTTGAGACATAAACTAGTAGAAGCTTATAAATGGTAATTTTGACAAATAGCTGAAGGCTGAGTATGTCCTAGCATGACAGTGAACAACTCCTGGAGCTTCAGTCTCAGGGGTTTTCAGATTTTCATGGGTTTTACTTTCAGGAACCCCATCAGATTGTCACAGTAAAAAAAAAAAAATCTCCTGTGTCTCTGGCAATGGGAACAGATGAATACTCCTATTGAAACAAGAAAAGCATTCTCAACAATAAAAGCCCATTCCCCAAAGGGGGACAAAACCCTTATCAGAGCCTTGTCTTACCTGGGGAAAGGCATTTCTCCCACACAGCTCCCTTGAGCTGTCCTGTCTCAGGTAAAAGGGAAAACAAAAGCTAAGAACTAGATTTGAAGGTCACAGGTCAAGAATAAGCAAAGTAAAAGACTGAAATTGAGGAAAATGTACAAAACTTTCATTCCTCCATACTTTTCCATATAACAAATAGAGTTCTGCTATACTAACGGTGGGTTACTGCTAAGAGAGTTTCAAGACATTAACTCTCTATGAGAAAAATTATAGAAAGATTACAAATATATTAATTTCAGAGAAAACATATTTCAGGACCAGGAAAATCATCCTGGGGAAAAGGGGATATTATACAATGATAAAGGAGTCAATTTTCCAAGAAGGCATAACAATCCTAACACTAGTCTGACTGATTATCTGCCTGCTTGGTCTGTCAATTATTGATAGAGGCATGCTGACATCTCTAATAGTGGATTTGTCTATTTTAGATGTACACATCTAACAACAGGGCATCAAAATATGTGAAGTAAAAGCAGACAGAACTGATAGGAGAAATAGACAAATCCACTATAATAGTTAGAGACTGCAGCATGCCTCTATCAATAATTGATAGACCCAGCAGGTAGATAATCAGTCAGACTAAAGTTGACATAAACATTGTCATCAACCTTCTTAATCTAATTGACATTTGTATAGTGCTCCACTCAATACCAGGAGAATTCATATTCTTCTCTATCTCATGTGGAACATTTACCAAAATAGACTGCATCTGGGCCTTAAAACATACCTTACATAATTCAAAATAGTGGAACTCCAACAGTCTATGCTGTCAGACCACAATAGAATTAAACTAAAAAGAAATAACAGAAATATAGTTTGAATATATCCAAATATTTGGAGATTAACCACACCAGTAAGTATCACATTGGTCAAAAAGAAATTTCAAGAGAGAAATTTTAAAATAATATATATAATTTTATTTTTAGACAAAGTCTCCCTCTGTCACCCAAGCTGGAGTGCAGTGGTATGATCTTGGCTCACTGTAACCTCCGCCTGCCAGGTTGAAGCAATTCTCCTGCCTCAGCCTCCCGAGTAACTGGGATTACAGGCAAGTGCCACCACGCCAGGCTAATTTTTTTTTTTTGGTATTTTTTTAGTTGAGTCAGTGTTTCACCATGTTGGCCAGGCTGGTCTCAAACTCCTGACCTCAAGTGATCCTCCTGCTTTGGCCTCCCAAAGTGCTGTGATTACAGGTGTGAGCCACTGTGCCTAGCCAGAAATCTAAAAATAATTTTAACAAAATTAAAATGAAAATACTTTTATCAAAATCTGTGGGATGAAAAAAAAGTAGTGCTTACAGGGAAGTTTAAAGGATTAAATGCATATTTTAGAAATGAAAGAAGATTTAATATTCATCTTAAACTCCCACCTTAGGAAACTAGAAAAGGAAGAGTCATGCTTTATTTTATCATAAAATAAAATAAAATAAAATAAATAAGAAAAATTAGAGATGAAATTGAGCGAAGGAAAACAATAGAGAAAAAAGTCAACACCGAAAAACTGATTGTTTGAAAAGATGAATGAGATAAATAAAATAAAATAATATTGACAAACCTCTTGCCAGGCTAACCATAAAAAAAGAGTTGAAAAAATGGGCAATATCAGAAATGAAAGAAAGGTGGGCATTATGGGTCCCATGAACATAAAAATATAATAAAGAAATATGGGAAGGAGTGCATCAAGATAAATAGCAAATGCACGTGGGGCTTAATACCTCGGTGATGGGTTGATAGGTGCAGCAAACCACCATGGTACATGTTTACCTATGTAACAAACCTGTATATCCTGCACATGTATCCCAGAACTTTAAATTAAATTAAATTAAATTAAAAAATAAAAAATAAATATAAAATTTAAAAATATATAATAAAGAAACATTATTAACAAGCTTAGGTCCACAAATATAATTTAGATTAAGTTGACCAATTTCTTGAAAGACACAAATCACCAAAACTCACACAAGGAGAAACAACTAGGCTAAATAGGCTGACACCTACTAATCAAATCAATAACGAATAACCTTCAAAACAAAAATGACAAGGTGAATTATTTCACTGACAAATTCTATGTAATATTTAAGAAATAAAAATGACACCAATTCTTCATCATATCTTCCAGAAAGTGGAAACTTGGGGAATACTTTCTAATTCATTATATAAAGCCAACAATACCCTAATATGAAAAACGATAAAGACATACAGTAAAGGAAAATTACCAGCCAATATTTCTCAAAAGCATAGATGTAATAATCTTAGCAATATGAAACCTAGTAATGCATCAAAAAATTACATAGCACAACCCAGTGGGATTTATTTCAGATATGCAAGGCTAGTTCAATATTCAAAAATCCATTCAAGTATTTCATCACATCAGTGACCTAATAAAGAAAAATCAAGTGATCATATCAATAGATACAGAAAAAGCTTTATAAGACAAATCCAACACCATTCATGAAAAAATTATTAGCAAACAAAGCATATAAGGGAACTTTCTCAACTTGGTGAAAAGCATCTTAATAAAACCTATAGCTAAGAACGTACTTAATAGTGAGAGGCTAGATGCTTTCTATCTAAATGCAAAAACAAAGCAAGGATGTCTTCTAATCCCATTCCTATATAGCATCATACTAGAATTTCTAGCTAGTGCAAAAGACAGGAAAAAAATATACAGGATAGGAAGGGAAAAATTAAATTCTGTTTTTTTCACAGGTCAAAATTATTATCTGTATTATCCCAAGAAATTGGCACAAAACAATTTTAGCAAGTAAATAAATAAAGAAGTATTGGATTGTAGCCCAAAGTATAAAATAGGTACCTATGAATCTGAACTGATATATGTAAATGTTTGAATAGATTGCCTGTGAAGAAGTATTTCGATTAATTTATTTACACATGTAGATACTGTGTCTTCAAGGAGGTGGGGCTTAAGTCCCCCCTTTTTAAGTGAGTCGCACATAATGATTTCCTTCAAAGAGTAGGATATGGAAAAGGGGAAAAACAGTAACTTTACAGGGGAGAAAGCAGATTAAACTCTATCTCAGTGACTGATGAAGGTTAACATCAACAGTGATATGTCATACTGATAATATATACTCTTGAAAAATGTGATGAGAAGCATGCTTTACCTCTGCAGCCTTCCTCCTAACAACCCATAATGAAATTATAATTAAAAGACTTTCTAGAAAAATGCCTGACCAGGATTTCTCAAAACTCTCAAGGTCATTAAAAACAGAAAGTCTGAGAAATGACCACAGTCAAGAGGAGCCTAAGGAAATGCACAATTAAATGTAATGATGTCCTGGATGGAGACCTGGAACAGAAAATGGACATCAGCGAAAACTAAGGAAGCTAAATCATATGTAAATTTTAGTTAGCAATGATTTATCAATATTGGTTCCTTAATTGTAACAAAATGTACCAAACTAATATAAAGTGTTAACAATAAGAGAAGCTGAGTATGGGGTGTATGGGGATCTCTACCCTACCATTTAAATCTAAACTTTTCTAGGCCGGGCACAGTGGCTTATGCCTGTAGTCCCAGCACTTTGGGAGGCTTTGGCAGGTGGATCACGAGGTCAGGAGATCAAGACCATCCTGGCCAACATAGTGAAACCTCGTCTCTACTAAAAATACAAAAACAGCTGGGCGTGGTGGTGTGCACTTGTAATCCTAGCTACATGGGAGGCTGAGGCAGGGGAATCGCTTGAACTGGGGAGGCAGAGTTTGCAGTGAGCCGAGATCGTGGCACTGCACTCCAGCCTGGTGACAGAGCGAGACTCCGTCTCAAAACAAACAAACGAAAAATCTAAACTCTTCTAAAACAAAAAATATATATATGTATATTTAATATTCATTTACATACCTATTAAAATTTTTTAAAAGGTGACAAATATTGTTCCGGAAACTATATGCTTGGTTCTTCAATCTGATGTGGAAAAGTATGAGAGACGCATTATTTATGATAGTAGGTATCTGAATGGTAATCTGAAATCCATATGTCTTGCAATTTTATTTCTAAAGACCTTTTAGAGTCTCTGTACTCTATTCACAGTCAATGAAAGTAATGGCTTTCACTAGCATGATTCAAAGCATATTTGTTGGAAACTCAGTATGTGAACAATAGTTTGGCAGGCCCTATGGAAACTCAAGGATAATTCAGAGAGGTATTTTGTCCTCAACATATTTCTTTTTAAAAACTTAAAAGAAAATAGTACCTAACAAATTCTTTTTTTACAAAAGTTGCAAATCGGATATTGTCCATGCCAGTGCAACTTGTGATCATGGAAATACTTCCTCTTCATTGTAATAAACATCTTGACATTCCTAAGAAGATCTATAATGAAAATCACTGTTGGGTTTTTTGTTGTTTCTTATTTGTTGGTTTGTTTTAATAAGCTAGCAAACCAAGGTGATTTACTCAAGGTCAAGGAAAAATAAGAGAAAGAACTGAATTCCCGTGCCAATGAATTTTTTTTTTCACGCATCCACTCGTGTCTGGGTTACAGTTATTTCACGTATAATGGTTATAATGTAGTTAGGGGAAAAGCCCAGCAGGATGGAACATTGTCCTGGAAAAAAAAAAAATCACTTTTGAAGTTAATCCCAATATGTTATATTTCTTTTTTTAAAAATAAAGTATTCAATGTACAAGAAAATGTTAGTGACATTTTTCATTTAAAATGTGGCACTATGCCAAAGTAAGAGAGCTACATCTGCTGATATTTTGGAGTGAAAGAAGATCAGCAACTTCTCTGAGTCTTTGTAGACTTACGTCATTCAGATGTTTTAAGTGGTTCAATCACTGTGTACATTCCAGTCACACATTTCCCATTTCATTTAAGGAGAAACAATAGAAAACTACAGAACATTTGTCAAATTTATTGAAAGAAAACATTTATTCTGCTTTTCCAGGTTTCTCCCCTGCATGTGCGACTTTTCAAGAGAATATTGCCTCTCCATACATCTCAGCATTCCTTTTCTTTTAAAGACTCTAGCAACATCAAAGTTCTATTAATCATTTAGTTAATCTGTGATATGGAGGAGTTTGAATATAATTCATCTGAACATCACAACCTCAAATTCTAAGCCAAGATCAGGAAAAGTTCTGAAGCCAAAATAAAGATTTTTGATTTAGCCATAATCACTGTGACAGAAAAACTTAGGTGAACACATCTTAAGGCAAGACCGCATGCGTCATTTTGGAACATTTCTCAAGGCCAAGAGGACAGCATATGAACTGTGAAGGTTGTTATTACCCCTCTATTTTCAACCTTAGTGGGTCTTTGTTTCTCTTACAATCTCACAACAGTGTGTATGTTACATGGTTAGCAGAAATACAGTATGGAACCATTCTACGCATTTAACTTGATGTGAAGCCTTTATTAAGGTGCCTCATATACACAGTTTAAGGAGACTGACAGGTGTAAGTACCTTGCAGGAAATGAGCAGCATATGACATCCTTATTAGTTAAATATTCAGTTGAACAATTGTGCTGATCAATTGCTTACTGTGTTTATCACTGTGATTTCTGCCACCTTGAACTTTGGCGTCCAGAAAAATATCTTCCTTTAGTTCTACGCCCCCTTACATGATCTTTTCTGAGCCTCAGTATTTTTATCTGCAAAATAGGTTTAACAGCAGGGGCCTATAATATAGGGTTGCTGTGATATTAAGTGAACTAAACATTCCACACTCTTATAACAGTGCCTGACACAGAAAAGCACTCAATAAGTGTAAACTATTATGATTATCATTAGGTACAATAAATTTTCATTGAGAACAAGATGAATTGATGTATTATACAATTCTATTTCATAAAAAATATGTGGCAATTAAAGGAAGCTTGTTTTTTAAAAAACTTTAGAAAAAAACATTTAAAGTTGTCAGAAACCTAATTTCACATGAAATCTAACAAGCGTATTGCTCTGTTGCCAAGATTCAGACCTGACTTCATACTTTCAGCCTGAGGAGAAAAAAAATAAAACCGAGCTTTAAAGTGTTCTTTGAAGTTCTAAGAACGAAACTTGTCGTAAATTAATTTCAGCATTTCAGGTTAGAAAAATTTTCATGTAATCACAACTTTGCATCTTTTCGTTATTAATAAGATCATTGGACTTTTTCGAGCTATATTGTATGCAGCTTGATCTTTCTGTCTTCTGTGGCACATGCCTCTCTGTATTTTGATGGAGTGGCCTTTCAGAAATGATTTGTAATTTTCCTAAATTAATACGTTTTATGAAAACATGTGACACGATTCTTTGAAAATTCTGAGGCCACAAATAGTTTTTCCTTTAATCTTTTGTTTTCAATCACTGGGTAATCAAAGATATTCTATTTAAAATGGGTCTTTTAACACATTAAATGACCAGGTACAATTTATATTGTCCGCTGCACTGACTTACATTCATATGTAAAAGAGTCGAATAAGTGTATCAATGAGTATAATATGAAAGTTTTACAGTATGGTTTTTCATAGTTACTTCTATAGCCTCGTGAAATTTTCTTTTACTCCTTTTAAAAAATACGAATATGTCCATTAAAAATACTAGCAAAATAAAACATACAAATGGAAAGGAAGTGAATGTTGAAAGAAAGATCTTTTAGCTTTTTCAAGTATCTACTCTATTTCTGAACAAAATTTTGCTGCTTCCTCAACATTTTCTATTCCCAGTTTTTCTGCATTTGTTTTCCTCTGTTTACTTACATTTTCCTTTTCTTAGTCTTCTTACACCCTATTCCGAACCTCAGAGCTGCTGATGGAAAAAGACAAGGGATAGAGTGAGAGTTTAGTCAAGACCACTGAGAATGACTTCACTCGGAACTGGAGGAGGGTAGGAACTTTGAACTGGCTCATAAATGACAGAAATGAAGCTTTAGTTGTTATTTCTTAACCAGGACAAATAAATAAATATATGTGTTTTATACGTATGTTATATATATACACACACATAAATATATATATATAATATGTATTTGTCCCATATATACATATTTTATACACATACATACACACACACACACAGAATGTGTGTCTTTACTTTCATCTTGCCTTGGCTTTTATATTAAATGAACCACTCAGTGATGGCGTGCAGCTTTTATCTCAGCCTATTTTCTTTCAATATCTTCTATTTGAAATGTAAATAAAAATAATAAGTAAAATCTATCAATGCTGATCATGGGAGAAGGACCAAAATTTGAGCAGCCATAATGTTCCGAGAGCTCCTGAGCAATGCTCTTCCAAGGGTAAATAACTTTGGGCCCAGAGCAAGTATCAGTGGTAAACAAGAAAGCAATTTCTTATATGTAAGCCTTATAAACATTGTTCATTTTGAAGGTTATGCAACAGATATTTATATTCTTGTTTTCAGGCTGCTTCCAACACAGTAAAATCTCCTAAGACTTTTGCAAGCCAAGCTAGTCTTTTTTTTTTCTTTTTTTTAGTGTAGTCCAATGCCAAAACGGCCTCAGCTCAGAAAAGCAACACGAATTGGAATATTCCAGTATTTCTTCATTCTTTAATTCTGCTCATACTCATATTAGATTTATTTCTCAGTAGGTTTCATTTAACTTTGTATGTATTCTAATGCTTATATGTGTTTTCTCATAGATCACATATGTAGCTAAGGATATGGTAAATGGATATTGAACACTATCTGTAAAATATATTAAGACATAATTGCTAGTTTGAGAGAATAGAGCCTACATCCAAAAAGATGAACCCCTCAGTTGTGAACATCAACTCCTCCACTGAAGCAATGTATCTCTGGAGAGAAAAGAAAATTTTTAAAATCCATCTTTATTTTATATTAAGGTGATAATTACTATGGGTTTCCTGTGAGCTGCTGCATACTTCATTGAATATTCAATATTTCTTGGGCACATTGGTAGAAAAATATCTAGTAAAAATGTATACTTTCTCAGAAAACTTATTGTTAACTTACAATGAATACATTAATGAGATCTTGCTTTGTGTCCAGCAACAGGTCCTTAAGATTATATTGCAATTCACACATACCAGAAAAAGAAAAATATTGACTAACACTAGATAGAAAACACTAGATAGAAAAGCCTGGTGAAATTGCTTTTGAGTCATGTAATTTTTGTTAGGTCATACTCAACTTGAAAGGACTTAGTCTATTGTAGGTGTATAGTAAATATATTTTAGATGAAGCAATCTACAGGCATACTTTGGAGATATTGCATGTTCAGTTCCAAGCCACCAGAAGAAAGTGAATGTGGTGACAAAGTTAGTCAGGTGCATTTTTTTTGCTTTCTAGTTCATATAAAAGTTATGTTCATACTATATTATAGTTTATTAAATGTGCTATAGCATTGTCTAAAAAATACGTGTATATATCATAATTAACATACATTATTGCTAAAAATTGCCAAAGATCATCTGAGCCTTCAGGGAGTCATAATCTTTTTGCTGGTGGAGGGGCTTACCTCCATGCTGATGACTGCTGACTGATCAGGGTTGTGGTTGCTAAAGCCTGGGGTGGCTGTGGCAATTTCTCAAATAAGGTAACAATGAAGTTTGCCTCATTGATTGACTCTTCCTTTCATGAAATATTTCTCTGTAGCATGTGAAGCCACTTGATAGCATTTTTCCCACATTAGAACTTCTTTCAGAGTTGGATTCAATCCTCTCAAATCTTGCCAAGGTTGTAGCAACTCAATTAATGAAATATCCTAAATCCTATGTTGTCATTTCAACAGTGTTCACAGCACCTTCATAAGAAACAGATTCCATCTCAAGAAACCATGTTTGTTGTTCATCCATGAGAAGCAACTCCTCATTCACCAAGTTTGATCATGAGATTGCAGCAATTCAGTCCTCTCTTCAGGCTCCACCTCTAATTTTAGTTCACTTGCTATTTCTACCACAACTGCAGTTACTTTTCTCCACTGATCTCTTGAAATCCTCAAAGTCATCCATGAGGATTGGAATAAACTTCTTTCAAACTCCCATTAATGTTGATATTTTCACTTCCTCCCATGAATCACAAATGTTCTGAATGACATTTAGAATTGTGACTCCTTTCCAGAAGGTTTTCAATTTACTTTGACCAGATCCATCAGAGGAATCACTCTCTATGGCAGTTATAGTCTTATGAAATACATTTCTTAAATAATAAGACATGGAAGTATTCCTTGATTCATGAGTTGAAAGATGGATATTGTGTTAGCAGGCATGAAAACAATATAAATCCCCTTGTATATCTGCATCACAGCTCTTGGAGGACCAGGTGCATTGTCAATGAGCTTTAATATTTTAAAAGAATCTTTTTTTCCTGAGCAGTAGATCTCAAGAGTGGGCTTAAAATATTCAGTGACCCATGCTGTACACAGATGTGCTGTCACGATGTTCAGGCTTTGTTTCCCCATTTATAGAGCACAGACAGAGTAGATTGAGCATAATTCTTAAAGGCCCTAAGATTTTTGGAATGGTTAATGAGATTGCCTTCAACCTAAAGTCACTAGCTGCATTAGCTCCTAATAAGAGAGTAAGCCAGTTCTTTGAAGACTTGAAGCCAAGCTCTCTATTTATGAAAGCCCTAGATAGCATCTTCTTCCAATAAAAGATTGTTTCATCTACATTGAAAATATGTTGTTTAGCATAGCCACCTTCATCAGTTATCTTATCTAGACCTTCTGGATAACTTGCTGCCGCTTCTATATTAGCACTTGCTGTTTTGCTTTGCACTGTTATGTTATGGAGATGTCATTTTTCCTTAAACATCATTAACTGACTTCTGTTACCTTAAAACTTTTCTTCTGCAGCTTCCTTGCCTCTCTCAGACTTCACAGAATTAAAGAGAGTTAGAGTCTTTCTCTGGATTAGGCTTTGTCTTAAGGGAATTTTGTAGCTGGTTTGATCTTCTATTAAGACCATTAAAACATTATCCATATAACCAATAAGGTTGTTTCACTTTCTTCCCATTCATGTGTTCACTGGAATAGCACTTTTAATTTCCTTCAAGAACATTTTTTTGACATTAACAACTTGGTTTAATAGTGCAAGAGGTCTAGCTTTTGGCCTATCTTGGTTTTTGACATGCCTTCCTCACTAAACTTAATCATTCCTAGCTTTTGATTTAAAGTAAGAAATGTGGAGCTCTTCTTTTTACTTGAAAACTTAGAAGCCATCACAGGATTATTAATTTGCCTAATTTCAATATCCTTATGTCTCAGAATGATCTGTCGGTGTAGCAGGCAGAACACACACAACATTGATCAATTAAGTTTGTCGTCTTCTATGGGTGCTGCATCTGGTGCCCTGAAGCAATTACAACAGTAACACCAGAGATCACTGATCACAGATCACCATAACAGATATAACAATAATGAAAAAGTTTGAAATATTCTAAGAATTGCAAACGTGACACGAAAACTCCAAGTGAGCACATGTTGTTGGGAAAATGGCACCTACAGATTTTTTGGAGGCAGGGTTGCCACAAAACTTTAATGTGTAAAAAACACAATATCTGCAAAGCATGATAAAATCAAGCACAGTAAAATGAAGTATGCCATTATTTTTATCAAAAAGGCAAGCAGTGTGACACCACTCTCATTACCAAGTAGAATCCACTTAGGAGTAGATAGAGTCAGAGTCAGGTCGTATAGAAGAAAGATGACTGTTAGGTGAATAATAAAGGCAGATATTTACAAAATGTATATAAGAATAAAATGAACTCCTTGAGTTTTGAGAAAGTTGAAATAAGGAATCATAGAGTTCCATGCATAGAACATATGGAAATTACAACTCAAATCTGAACATGGACCAATGGTAGGAAGTGAACCTGAGGATACTAATGTTCTACTAGTCCCTTGCTCTGTGACAGGTGCAGGATCCTACATAATTGTCACAAGAGCCCCAGTATCAGAGAGTGACCATTTTAATAGCAATTATAATGAATAGTTTATGGAAATGGGAGTCCCGCTGGATTTGTTAGCAATCTCATAGACTCAGATAATTTTTCAATCAGTCAAAACTTAAAGATTTTGGTTTAATTAATTCACTTTAAAGACAAGAAAACATAAATTTATACAGAAAAATAAAAATGGCTGGTGCAAAGTCACCAGCCATTAACCCAGTGAATTAATGCAGAAATGAGAATAGAAAGAATCCAGATCACTCTGAGGCTCTTTACATCACCTCACACTGCTGTTTAGTTATTCTCTCATATCATCCCACACACTTGCTCTTAAAAATATTTCAATTGCAAATTCAATAAATATAGATTATTATTAAACCTTTTATTGTTTTTTATTCATTTAGTTACAAGAGCAAAGTTTTGAGACTATGGCCATTCTAATTCAGGTGAAGAACAGAATGTGAACTTTAGGTTTGAGTATATACCCTCATTTTCATGATATGATTTTCATTAAACTCACATTGATTATTAGCATTTACAAATAGGATTCATTCAATCATCTACTAAATATAATAGATGTCTTGCTTTCTAATGCATTTAAACCAATACATAAATGCCAGCAGGAAGTTCCAATCACAGTGAATTAGGATTGTGCATTAGTCTTATTTAGCTTGGCTTTATATAGTGTACTGGACATGATCATTTGGCAAAATAAAAACAAATGCTTACATTTGACTTGTGACTTGTGTTTTATAAAAACATAACAGAGATGTAATTATGCATTTTTTCAGCTGCATTCACTTAGCCAGCTGTCTAGATATTATGTTAAACTCATTTTTCTCCATATTGGGGTTTATTTTTATCCAGATTATTTTTATTAATTGTACAAAAAAGTAGACCTTGGTTTCAGTTTCATACATTTTATGTGTTAGACACTTACAGTTTTTAGCAACATATGTACCCAGTTGTAGATACACTATGTCATTCTTATTTACTGCTATCAGTTCTACTATTTCTTCATACAAGAGGACAAAGTGAGAAAAAGTACAATTATTTGGCACCTACTAAACAGCGTTAGGTGGATCACACAAATATTTGTCTTACAGATGATGTGAATCATTATATATTCTCCAGTTTTAAAGTTCACATCATAAGTGGTTTAAAAGTTTATCCAAAATGTTGTTTCATGTTAGACTGGATTCATGTCTCCCTTTATATTTGAGTGGTTACACTAATAGCCTTACTTGCCATGTAGAATTCTGCTTCCTTTTCTCCCAGATTCTCTGAAGCAGCAGAACTGGCTGTTGAGGAAAATTTTTCACATACCTCTATGGTAGCTGAGCAACATCTTCCCTTTTGATGCTCATTAGATAGAAGAAAGAAAAATATCATTGTGGCAAAGTTGTCAGTGTCCTGAACTCCTGGCTTTTCTTCAATTTCTTCTTTGCTTCAGGCAATACTCAAAGTGACTTGGAGGAGATATATTTTTATGTTGAAACTCTCCTCTTGTGAGCAAACTCAATCAAGTTCAGAATCAAGGCTAGTGTTTTCTTGGCTCCTTTATGTGTATACTGTAGTGATTGTCCAAACTGACCTATTTAGTTTCCTCAATATTTTCATATAAATCAATACATCATAGAAAGACATATAAAGTAATATATTTTCAGGGATGAATTCTTGGATTTCCAATAAGATGTTCCATCCATATACAAATATTAAAAATTAGATGTAGAGGGACTTCTTGTTTGCAGTCCTAGAAGTAAAAAAATTGAAAGTTATCACTCCTAGAATCACAACTAGAAAAACAGAACAAACTGACCTGAGATCTTAGATCTATCAAAAAATAGAATTTGCAGGGCGAACTACACCCCTGAAGACTGGAGAGAGAGAGAGAGACAGAGAGAGAGAGAGAGAAAATACAGAGAAAGACATTTTACCAGGGCCAGAACAAATGCTGGAGCCAGCAACTTGTAGGAACATTTAAAGGGAATTGACTAATTTCCTTAACTGAGCTTGAATGTAGACTAGATTGAAAGATAAAAGTGCCTGGAGAGCCAGCCTTATGAGGGGTCCCCACTTTCTCACTTACCTCTAGGAGCTCCAAGCATTTTTAAATGTGAAGATCAGAGAAAAAAAAAATCCCCTCTTGCTTCAGGCAGGGAAAGGAGAAAGGTAACTATTTTCTAACGTACTTGGAGTTTTTTTGTTCTCCTTAACAAAGGCTTGCCCTCAAAGGAAACTATTCTATTTGAACCTAACAAACATGGGCTTTACCAGAGCCTAATTAACCTGGGGAAAAGGAAATAAAATATTCCATTCCAATCCTCTCCAGCCTTCCTGACTGAGCCAAGGAAGATGTGTTAGGCAGTTTGCACTCTCATAAAATACCATAGACTGGGTGGCTTAAGCAACAGAAATTCATTTCCTCTCAGGAAACTGGAAATCCAATATCAGGGTGCAGGCAAGGTGAGGGCACACTTCACAACTTGCAGACAGCTACCTCTTTACTATGTTCTCCTATAGCCATAGCCAACTCTGCAGTGTCTTTTCTTATAAGGGCACAAATCCCATTATGAGGGCCTCACCCTCATGACCTCATATCAGCCTAATTACCTCTCAAAGCTCCCATCTCCAAATACCATCACTTTGGGATTAGGGCTTCACCATATGAATTTTAATAGAAGACAGTTGAGTCCATAGCAGAAAGGAAAAACTGAGAATTACTTGTTAACATCACAGCTCATTAACAGAAGCTCACTATACTATACTACAGGGCAACAGTAAACAAAACAGCATGGTAATGTTACAAAAATAGACACATAGACCAATGGAACAGAATAGAGAACCCAGAGATAAGGCTGTACAACTGCAACCATCTGGTTTTCGAAAAAATCCACAAAAAAAAAAAAAAAAACCAATGGGGAAAGACTCCCTATTCAATAAATGGTGCTGGGACAACTGTCTAGCCATATGCAGAAGGTTTAAACTGGACCCACTCCTTATACTATATGCAAAAATCAACTCAAGATGGATTAAAAACTTAAATCTAAAATCAAAAGCTACAAAAAACCCAGAAGACAACCTAGGTAATATCATTCTTGTTACAGGACCTGGCAAAGATTTTTATGAAAAAGACACCAAAAGCAATTGCAACAAAAACAAAAACTGACAAATGGGACCTAATTAAACCAAAGAGATTCTGCACAGCCAAAGAGTCTCTCAGTAGAGTAAACAGACAACCTAGACAATGGGAGAAAGTATTTGCAAACTGCATCTGACAAAGGTCTAATATCCAGCATATAAAGAACTTCAATAATTTAACCAGCAAAAAAACAAACAACCCCATTAAAAAGTGGGCAAGGGACATTTAACAGACACTTTTCAAAAGAAAACATACACACTGCCAACAAGCATATGAAAAAATGCTCAACATCACTAATCATTAGAAAAATGCAAATCAAAATCACAATGACATACTATCTCACACTAGTCAGAATGACTATTATTAAAAGTTAAATAAATAACAGATGCTGGCCAGGCGCGGTGGCTCATGCCTGTAATCCCAGCACTTTGGGAGGCGGGTGGATCACAAGGTCAGGAGTTAGAGACCAGTGACCAGCCTGGCCAACATGGTGAAACCCTGTCTCTACTAAAAGTACAAAAATTAGCCAGGCATGGTCATGTGTGCCTGTAGT
The DNA here is from genome assembly GCF_000001405.40 of Homo sapiens. Taxonomy (NCBI): domain Eukaryota; kingdom Metazoa; phylum Chordata; class Mammalia; order Primates; family Hominidae; genus Homo; species Homo sapiens. The sequence goes on along the minus strand of NC_000002.12, from coordinate 103,317,723 downwards.
CCCAGCTACTCGGGAGGCTGAGGCGGGAGAATTGTTTGAACCCAGGAGGTGGAGGTTGCAGTGAGCCAAGATTGCACCATTGCACTCCAGCCAGGGCAACAGACCAATACTTCATCTCAAAAATAAATAAATAAATAAACAAACAAACAAACAAGCAGATGCTGTCCAGGTTATGGAGAAAATTGAATGGTTATGCACTGCTGGTGGGAATATGACCTAGTTCAGCCATTGTGGAAAGCAGGCTGGCAATTTCTTAAAGAACTTAATAAAGAATTACCATTTGACCCAGCAATCCTATTATTGGGTATATACCCAATATAAATTCTTTCACCATAGACACATGCATGCATATGTTCATCACAGCATTGTTCATGACAGCAAAGACATGGAACCAACCTAAATGCCCATTAATGGTAGACTGGATAAAGAAAATGTGGTACATATATACCATAGAATACTTTGCTGCCATAAAAAAGAATGAGAATGAGATCATGTCCTTTGTTGAGCTCAAGTCTGAGGCTGTAGGGAGCTCTGATCATGCCACTGCCCTCCAGCCTGGGTCACAGAACAATACCTCATCTTTAAAAATTATGAAGGGGATATAGTGATTTCTCAGCAACAACATCAATGAAGCTGGAAGCCTTATCTTAAGCAGGACCAGAAAACCACATACCACATGTTCTCACTTATAAGTGGAAGCTAAGCTTTGAGTGCATATGGTCACAAAGAAAGGAACTACAGACACCAAGGATTACCTGAGCATGGAGAGTGGGAAGAGGCTAAGGATTGAAAAACTACCTATCAGGTACTATGTTTATTACTTGAGTGATGAAATAATTTGTACATTAAACCCCCAGGACACACAGTTTACCTATATAGCAAACTTGCACATGTACCCCTAAACATATTTTTTTTTAAAGGAAAAAGTCACCAAGTCAGAATTCTCTATTCAGAAAAACTATTCTTCAAATGTGAAGTGGAGCAGGTGTGATGGCACATGCCTGTAATTCCATGTCCTCAGGAGGCTGAGTTGGGAGGATTGCTTGAGCTCAGGAGTTCAAGCAGTGAGCTATGATCATGCCACTGCCCTCCAGCCTGGGCCACAGAGCAAGACCTCATCCCTAAAAATAAGATGAAGGGGATATAAAGATTTTTCAGATAAACAAGAATTGTTGGCATTTGCCAGCAGTAGACCTAACTTGCAATAAATATTACAAGAGTCCTCCAAAAAATAAAAAATGAAAATGATATAGGTCAGAAACTCAGACCTACAAAAAGAAAAGTGTTAGAGACCAAATAAATGAAAGTAAAATAAAATCTTTTAATTTTTAATTTTCCTATTCTTAATTATCTAAAGGGTAACAGCATATTCCAAAAATAAAAACTATGTATTGGATTATTATAGCTTATGAAAAATAAAATGCATGACATGAATGTTACAAGAAATGGGTGGGAAGCATTGGTAATACTTGTTTATAAAGTACCTTCACTACTCATGAAGCATAATAGTGTTATTCAAAAATGAATATACATTAGTAGTAAGTAAGTGCATTCTACAGACTCTTTGGATACCACTAAAATTATTTTCAGTAAGCATAATTTATATGCTAAAGGAGGAGAGAAAATAAAATCATATAAAATACTCAATTAAAACCAGAAAGGCAAAAAAAAATGAGAGGATAACAAATAAATAAATAAATAAATAAAAGAAGAAACAAAGATCAACGAATGTAAAGCACTTACAAATATGGTAGACATTAATTCAACTACATCAATAATCAGTTTAAATGGGAATGGTCTAAATACACCAATTAAAATACAGAGATTGTCATAGTGAATCCAAATGAAAACAAATGATAAAAGTAAGATCCAATGATATGCTGCCTATAGAAAACCCACTTTATAAATAAAAAAAACAGATTAAAGATAAAGAATGGAGAAAGATGTATCATGCTAGCAACAGCAAAAGAAAATGGAATGGCTATATTAATTGCAAATAAAGCAAACTTTAGAACAAGTAAGATTATCTGGGATAGAGGGGGTATTACATAATGAGATAGTGTTCCAAACTCCAAGAAGACATAACAATTTTTAACGTGTGTGAAGGTAACAACAGAGCATCAAAATACATGAGGCAAAAACTGATAGAATTGCAAGGAGAAATAGACAAATGCACTATTATAGCTGGAGACTTCAACACTCCTTTATCTATAATTGACAGATCAAGAAAATCAGTAAGAGATAGTTAAACTGAACAGCACCATCAATCAACACTATCTAACATCTGTAGTGTTGTTCATCCAACAACAGTAGAAGAAACATTCTTCTCAAGCTCACATGGAACATTCACCATGATAGACCACAGTCTGGCTATAAAACAAACTTTAAATCATTTAAATAATAGAAATTATCCACCATATGTTCTCAGACCGCAGTGGAATTAAACTCAAAACAACAAGATAAAGATAGTGGCAAAATTCCAAAATATTTGGAGGGTATACAACATACTTCTAAATAACACATAGGTAAAAGAATAATTTTCAAGATAAACTTAAAAACAATTTGGATTAAATTAGACTGAAAATACAACTTACCAAAATGTGTGGGATGCATCAAAAGCAGTACTTAACAGGAAGTTTATAGCATCAACTACATACATTAGAAAAGAAGAAAGTTCTAAAATCAATAATGCCAGATTCCACCTTTGAAAATTAAAAAAGAAGAGCCAATTAAATCTAACATAAGCAGAAGAAAATAAATAATAAAAATTAGAGTAGTAATCAATAAAATTGAAAACAGAAAATCAGCATAGAAAAATCAATGAAATCAAGAGCTGGTTCTTCCTCAACTTCCTAAAGAGTAGAAAGAAAAAATCTATAGCTAACATCAGATTTGATAGTAAGAATTAGATGCTTTCCTCTTAAGATTGGAAACAAGCCAAGTGTGTTCTCACTACTCTTGTTCAACATTGTACTGGAAGTCTTAGCTAATGCAATAAGACAAGGAAAGAAAATAACAGAAGTGCAGATTGGGAAGGAAGAAATAAAACTCTTTGTTCACAGATAATATTAATGTAAATAACTGAGGTCAGGAGTTCGAGACCAGCCTGGCCAACATAGTGAAATCCCGTCTCTACTAATAATACAAAAATTAGCCAGGCGTGGTGGTATGCACTTGTGATCCCAGGTACTCTGGAGGCTGAGGCAGGAGAATTGCTTGAACCTGGGAAACGAAGTTTGTAGACAGCCAAGATTGTGCCACTGCACTCCAGCCTGGGCAACAGAGTGAGACTCTGTATCCAAAAAATAAAATAACATAAAATAAATTAATATAAATATCAACGGGGAAAATACAATGTGTCAGGATACAAGCATACAAGCCTAATATGTACAAGTCAATTGCTTTCCTGTTCATTTCATAACAACAATGAACCATTGGAATTTGAAATTTAAGACATACCATTTGCAATAGCACCAAAAAGATGGAAATACTTAGGTATAAATCTAATAAAGTATGTATAAGTTTTTATGAGGAAAATACAAAACTGATGAAAGAAATTAAAGATCTAAATACATGGAGAGATATTCCATATTCTTGGATAAGAGGACAAATATTGTTAAGTTGTCAGTTCTTCTTAATTTGATGTATTGATTCAACATAATCCAACTGATTGTAAACTGTATATGAAAAGGCAAAAGACCCAGGATAGTTGCTAATACAATGAAAAAAATTAAAGCATTGATAGTCTGTCTTCAAGAAAAATGCCAAAAATTCAGGCTACAGAGAAACTTTATATCTTTCACAATAATTAATTCAGAATGGATCATAGACTTAAATATCAAATGCAAAATTATACAACTTCTAGAAGATAACATAGAGGATAATTTTGATTACCGGGGGTTTGCTGATGACTTTTTAGTTGCTCTTCAAAAGCTACTCAAAAGGAAATAAAAAGATGAATCACAGACTGGGAGAACATATTTGCAAAAGACATATCTGACAAAGAACTTATTTGAAAAATATACAATAAACTCACAAAGCTCAACAATAAGAAAACAAAAAATCCAGTTTAGAGGTAGGGGAAAGATCTGGACAGACATCTCATCAAGGACATGTAGATGGCAAATAAGTATATGAAAGGGTCCTCAATCCTCATTAGGGAATTGCGAATTGAAACAACGATGAGATATCACTACACATCCATTATAAAGCTGAAATCTAAAGCAGGCGCAATACCAAATGCTGGCAAGAAGGTAGAGCAATGGGAGCTCTCATTCATTGCTGACGGGAATGCACAGTGCTGCAGTCATTGTGGAAGAGAGTTTAGCAGTTTTTTTATAAAGCTAAATATAGTCTTACCCTACCACCCAGCAATCACAACCCTTGATATTTATCCAAATGAATTGAAAATTTATGTCCACACACAATCCTACACATGAATGTTTATAGCAGCATTATTCAGAAATGCCAAAAATAGGAAGCAACCATTATGTCCTTCGATAGGTGAATGGGTAAATAAACTGCGGTACATCCAGACAATGGGACATCACTGAGTAATAAAAATAGATGGAATATCAAGCCACAGAAAGACGCAGAGAAACCTCAAGTGCACGTCGCTAAACTAAAGAAGCCAGTCTGTATAATTCCAACTATATGACCTTCTGAAAAAGGCAAAAAGTAGTGACAATAAAAAGATCAGTGGTTGCAAGGAGTATGAGGGAGGGATAGACAGAAGGGGGAAAGAATGAATAGGTGGAGTACAGGGGAATTTTAGGACCGTGAAACTATTCTGTATGGCATTAATGATAGGCGCATAACATGATGCATTTGTGAAAACCCAGAGTAGGACATAACACATAGAGTGAACCCTAATATAAACTATGTACTGCAGTTAATAATAATGTATCAATATTGGCTCAGGAGCTGTGACAAATGTACCGCACTAAGGTAAGATGTGAATAAGAGGCGAACTGTGTGCATGGTAGAGGGAGGTATATGGGAATTCTCTGTACTTTCTACTCAATTCTTTTAACCCTAAAACTACTCTAAAAACTAAACTCTTAACATAAACAAAATTAGATGTGAAGATTCCATTACATATAATTCTGAAATTCTTCCTCTACAGAACTTGTGGTTTGTTTTAATACCAAAGTTTTATTGATTTGGGATGGGCAGCATCCTTTATTAACATTCCTAATCTAACAATGAGAGACAGTCATCAATTCTGTAGATTTGCAGCTGGGCTGACATATGCAAATATAGAATATCTCCTAGACTCTTTGCTGCTGTTGTGCATGAATTCATTTTTAAGGCTTAAAAAATCCGATTCACCTTCCATAATGTTCATATATATGTCGCTAGTTCTTTGCACTACATAAATTGATCTTGGAACATCTGTGAGAAGCCTTAAATACCTCTCATGCCCCCATGGGAGTAAATATGACTCATATATAAACAGACACTTTTTTTAATATCTAAAATCCCTATCAATTTCATGGCAACTATAAATAACCATTAATTTACAACCCTAAAACTAGTTTCTTCGATTATGCTTCATATAATTATATATATTTTAAATGCAAATATTTGTTTATAAATATTATTCAAAGAACTAATAAGCTCTTTTAAATACCAAAATATCTCACTTTCTCTAATTATGATAATTTTATAGCTGGATAAATAGCATGTCAGACTGTTTGCTCCTCCTTTATCCATTGTGGTGCACTCAAATGGGAAATCTAAAAAATAAAATCTGTGGCAGATTTTCCAACTGCTTCTGGGTTTGAACATCAAATGCTAAGGAAATGTGTGCTTTTCTGTGGAGTTGCCATACATAAAATCACGGCAAATATGCTACATTTCTACATAGCAAGAGATATTTAAGATGGATTGTCTAACATGTATTATTTTTCCTAATTTAGTCGTCTATCATGTTTCGTCGAGCCTGTTTAACATAAAACAGATTCTAAGTGCAGAACCCAGTAACTTCAGATCTTCAAAAAGAAATAGTTTTTATTTTTAATTTATTATATTTTAAATTATAGAGCTCAACTCTATTATGATAAATAAATCAATCCAAACAAAGAAGGATATGCACTGTATTATTTTATGCATTTGAAATTCTGAAAAAGTCAAATCCATAAGGCCACAAATAAGTTCAGCTAGGGAAATGGCTATAGAGGAGAAGGAATTGGTTGCAAAAGGGCATGAAGTAACTTTTTGATGTGATAGAATTCAGCTGTCCTGGTTTTTTTTTTACCATGGTCATTGTTACATGGTCATATGCATTTATCAAAGTATGTGCAACTTTACCCCCCAAATATTAATTTTATTGTATGTCAATTGTGCTTTAATGACTCTGACTTAAAAAGAGGAAAAACAATTATTAAAAAGTCAGGAAACAACAGATGCTGGAGAGGATGTGGAGAAATAGGAATGCTTTTACACTGTTGGTGGGAATGTGAATTAGTTCAACCATTATGGAATACAGTGTGGTGATTCCTCAAGGATCTAGAACCAGAAACACCATTTGACCCAGCAGTCCCACTACTGGGTGTATACCCAAAGGATTACAAATCGTTCTACTATGAAGACATGCACACGTATGTTTATTGCAGCACTGTTCACAATAGCAAAGACATGGAACCAACCCAAATGCCCTTCAATGATAGACTGGATAAATAAAATGTGGCACATATACACCATGGAATACTATGCAGCCATAAAAAATAACGAGTTGATGAAGCTGGAAGCCATCATTCTCAGCAAACTGACACAGAACAGAAACCAAATACTGCATGTTCTCACTCGTAAGTGGGAGTTTAACAATGAGAATGCATGGACACAGGGAGGGGAACATCATACACCTGGACCTCTTGTGGGGTGGGGGACAAGGGGAGGGAAAGGATCAGGACAAATACCTAATGCACGCAGGGCTTAAAACCTGGATGACAGGTTGATACGTGCAGCAAACCACCATGGCGCAAGTATACCTATGTAACAAACCTGCACGTTCAGCACATGTATCTCAGAACTTAAAGTAAAATAAAACAAAATTTTTAAAACAAGAAGAGAAAAAAAGAAAACTAGGGACAGATGAATATCATTCTTATGAAACCATTTTAATTACAGGAAGGTGAAGAATCATTTGCTCAACAGGTATTCCACAAGGTCCTTTCTATGTATTGGTCCAATTTTTATTCATTAAGTTGTCTTCTCAAACATAAAACTTCCATTTAAATGCTATAGAAGTTTCTATTCACTGAAAGCACATGCAGAAGGCAGAAGTTGTGTACAGTTATCTATGAATGATAATTTTCAGATGTGTTACATTTATACTGCAACCGATACAATTTTAAAATTAAAATTAAAAAGCCCTGTGTCAACATTTAATAGAAAATGTTCCTAAATGGTGACTTTGAGTGAGGAGCACAGACATTGTAAATTGTAGAGTGCTAAGACTATGTTGTCTCCTCCTCTGCAGGAGCTCAATTCTAGTAGCAGAAACAGAGTCAAATAATTTTCTCAATAGTGACTACTTTAATGGTCACAGAGGAACAAAGTTATTTGGAAGTCTGCAGAGGGAGCAATGGAATATGTGCAATATTCACATCCAATGAAATTCACATCCAATTTCAAACATCCAATGAAACACTTTCACCTATCATGGAAGGCCATGTTCCTGCGTTGTCCCACCACATTCCATTGGTTGTGATGGATTCCCACATATCCACTTCTAATATGTTACCTCTTCCTTCTTTAATATTTTTTTTTTTTTTTTGAGGCGGATTCTTGCTTTGTCGCCCAGGCTGGAGTGCAGTGGTGCCATCTCGGTTCACTGCAAGCTCCGCCTCCCGGGTTCACGCCATTCTCCTGCCTTAGCCTCCCGAGTAGCTGGGACTACAGGCACCCGCCACCACGCCCAGCTAATTTTTTGTATTTTTAGTAGAGACGGGGTTTCACCGTGTTAGCCAGGATGGTTTCCATCCCCTGACCTCGAGATCCGCCTGCCTCGGCCTACCAAAGTGCTGGGACTACAGGCGTGAGCCACCGCGCCCGGCCGTGTTACCTCTTCCTTCTAATAACATAAGTGGTTGACAAAATCCATTTCTGAAATTTAGCTCAAATGTCTCTTCTTGCCAGAAGGGCAAAGGAGCTTCATTACCCTAGCCCAAGCAACCACAGACAGTCTTGTAACATTTTATTCTAATGTATCTTCTTCACCAACAGCATTTATCCTATTTTAAGTTGTCGATTTTATTGATTATGTTTTCCATGTATTTTCTGCTCTTCCCCTGATTAAACTGAAATTCCTCCAAGGAGCAGCCTCTTCCTGTCTGGTGGAAGCTGGGATCTGGAAAAGTGGACACAGTTCATTGCAGGTTGTCTGTGCTGGGGCTTTAATCTCAAGTCTTTATTTTTCTGTGAGTTCATCAGCAATTAAACTCAACAAGTACAAACTACCTCAAAATACATTTCCGCCCCAAATGTAAGACAGAAAATGACACAATTGAGAATATAATGGAAATGATATAGTTGCATTATTTATCAAGAATACTATGAATTCTACAAACAATATAGTGAAATAAAAGCTGCAGTCCACAACAATTTGACAGTGCATCAGTCAAACCTATGTATTAGAGAATACTACTTACGCATTCATGGGACAATTGGGCATATTCTAGTTATAGGATGATTATATCTGTACATCAATACCTTCTTTATTTCAGTTTATTAGAGCCACAAAATGCTATTTGATTTGATGTTGGAATATCTTACAGGTATTTTTGCCTGGATTTGACAGATTGAATGAATTTAAACATTGCCCATATATGATTCTGTGAAGACCAAAATTTTATATCAAAAAATTATCTCATGGGAATAGTTAAAGAAACCACAATAGTAAAAACTTAAAGATTGATTGTACTGACAATTTCTTAAAGTAGTGGCTCATATATGATCCAATAGTACCAATGTTTTCCATGATTATATGATTACCGAGAGTTTTCTCATAAAAGTTATAATGCAAATGTTATCTCATTTTAGTTACTAATTAGAGGAGGGTATTATGTTTGCACATTAAAATGTGATTTTGCTATACTAGATAATTTTGCTGAATTTAAATGTTGATATTCTCCTTTCAGCTATAAGCATTCTTCTCTTTGGAAATTCTGTTCATGTTTAGGGCCATTGTATTATTTTCTCTCTACACCCTTCGGTACTGTTGCGTACTTGCCCTGACTCCGTGGCAGTCTTGTAAAGGTTTGGACAGTCCACACAGTAAGAAATAAACATTTTTTTTTTTAAATCTAGGACCTTTATTACTCAATACAAGTAAGGAGCTTTTTCTCCAAAGCACATGCAGCCTATGTGCTAGCAGAAATGAACTCTTGATGGAGCTCAAACACAATCGCACACATGGGCACACAAACTTGTGATACAAATATGTCCCAAAACAATACTTAAATTTAGCATGTACATATGCCACAGTACATCAATTTTTTAAAATAAGGCTAACTCTGATAAGATACAGTGCCTGACATAGTAGTTCTCAGTAAGCATTTGTTGATTAAAATTGTTGACTGTTGAATTTTTGGCACCTAATTTACAGTACATAAGTGGTTAGATATAACTTTTAATATGCAGGGATTATGGAGATTATAATACACGTATATGGGACTTTAACATGCTGGAGGATGCCTAAGAGAGCATGGGCCATAGGACATTAGTTACATAAATGCATATTGAGCATTTCAAGGTGCACCAGAAATAGCTATAAACAAAAGACAAAAATCTTCACCCCCATAGAATGAACATTCTGGTAGGTGAATATCCATCTTGAAGAGGAAAAATGAGTAAAGTATGAGATGGTGATGAGTGTTATGATAAAAAAAAAAAGCAGGGAATGGGATGGAGATAAGGCTGCTACCATGTTAGGGGGGCTGGCAGGGAGGGCATCACAGAGAGGCTGGCATTTGGGTAAAGGCTTTAAAGAGGTGGGTTCATGAGCATCATGACCTGACCTGGTGCTGTATGAGAGGAGTGGAAGGAAGAATAACGGTCCTCAGAGAGCTCGACATTCTAAAGCCAAGACGTGTGGGTGTGTCAGTTTGCACATAATGGGAAACTAAAGTTGCAGATGGAATTAAGGCTGTTACTAAACTGACCTTGAGGAGGTTATCCTGGATAATCCGAGTGGGCCCATTGTAATGAAAAAGGGTCCTTACACATGGAGGAGGGAGGCAGAGAATCAGAGAGAGATATAAAGATGTACACTGCAGGCTTTGAAGTGGAGGAAGGCACCGTGAGCTAAGGAATGTGAGAAAGCTGAAAAGCAAAAGGAAATGCATCCTGCCTTCAGATCTTCCAGGAGTAACACAGCTCTACCTACACCTTGAGTTTAGCCCAGTGAGATCCATTTCGGTCTTCTGACCTCTAGAACTGGAAGTGGATAAATTTGTGTTGTTCTCAGCCACTCAGTTTGAGGTCATTTTTATAGCAGCAATAGAAAAATTAATACATGAGACATATAAACAAACTTGGCTTAAGAAAGCTTCAGGGAGAGGTGGCAAAAGGCCTGAAAAAGTCATCAATGGGCTTCCCGCTCACCTTCCGTGACAGTGTCACTGTGAGGTGCGCAGGGTTTCTTGGGTCCCACGTCTCTGTCTTGGTTTCTTGCTGCTTCTTTCCAATCATTAGTTGCATTTGGCAGTTTTACTTACTTTAGGAAGTTTCTTTCAATGTTGAACAATGAAATTTTACAAACACATTCTTCTCACGATCCTGTTTTTGTGAAACGTATGTATGCGTGTGTCTGCCTGTGTAAACTCAAGGGGAAGTAAACCTGGGAAATATATGCTTCAAAAAAAAGGACCTGGAGCCAGACACGGTGGCTGATGCCTGTAATCCCAGCACTTTGGGAGGCTGAGGCAGGCGGATCACCTGAGGTCAGGAGTTCAAGACCAGCCTGGCCAACATGGCAAAACACCGTTTCCACTAAAAATACAAAAATTAGCTGGGCATCATGGTGAGTGCCTGTAATCCTACAGGCTGAGGCAGGAGAATCACTTGAACCCAAGAGGTGTAGGCTCTAACGAGCCTAGATCACACCACTGAACTCCAGCCTGGGCAACAGAGCGAAACTCTGTCTCAAAAAAAAAAAAAAAAAAAAAAAGAAAAGAAAAAGAAAAAAAAAAGACTTGGAGTTGGATGAGCAAGAGGGAACTTCCATTTTCTACTTTAGATGTTTTTCCTAGAAAATTGGTCGATTCATAAATATTTTGCACACACACGTTTTTAAAGAAGGAAAAGAAGGAAAAAATAAATGCACAAACTTATTGAGAACTACATACTGATGTCAATTTTCAAATCATATATTCATCATAAGTCAAAACAGCCAAATATTGGCAATCTCATATGATTTAACCTAAATGTAATTGCAGAAGAGAAATCTTGGGAGTCCGTAATATTTTATGAAAGCAGGTACATGGGCACACGCACACTGACATAGTCCTATTACATGTAGAAAGGCATTGTCCTTCGGATTCTTTGGTAATAGATCAGTGAAAGGTCTGTAAAACTGAGTGCAATTTAGGTAGTCAGGATCAGCATAAGAAAAAAGAAAAGAAAAAAAAGAAACACTGAAATGGGGCTTATCTATTTACTCAGCAGTTGATAAAGCCTGACAAGTTAATTAAGTCACTTTTATTAAGGTTGCAATAACATGTGATACTTCAGTGATAATACACTTAACTGATGTGGACAATATTTAAAAAAAAAAACACTAATGAAAAAAATAGCAATTAAAAGTTTATACTTTAAAAATCATTTAAACTAAATGACCTAAATTAAGTCATCTGAATAATACAATTTTGTCTATAAGATGATTTTTAAAACACCAAGCTGCCCTAGAATGATGGCAGAAAATCAGGAATTGTCCAACACATTCAAAATGAGAATGGGAATAAATATTTTATAATGTAATACAAAGGTATCAATATTTAAAAGCCTTCGTTCATACTTCACAAAATTCTTAATGCAACTGATGTTTCTGAGATGACGATATCAGATGAATACAATTCTTTTCAGGTATTTTATCGGATTAAGGGTATATGTTTATTATCTCAAGCCCAGCTTAACTAATTTCATTCTCAGGGTCAAAGACTTTCCGAAAATAACTGCTCGGGGATGTTCATTATTAATAGTGTTCCTCTCTCGTTAATAGTTTATGGTGAGCTTCTCAGAATATTATGAGACTGTAAAAATTCTATCCCAATAAATGTGTCTTTAGTAATAAATTGGATATAAGTTATATAGTCTATGAGTTTCACACTGATTTATGCTTGTCGTAACAAGTAGCTGCACATGGTCTGCACAACCTAGCAGAGTGCAGCATACGGTTTGCTGTTTGTGGGTGCAGAAGACTCAGAAATAATCTGCATTTACAGAAAATAATTATAAAATGAGATCAGAAAATCACTTTACACACATTTATTATTTCTTTTCTAAACTAATTTGAGCAGGAAACCTCCTTTAGATCAATAATTTATTTCTGCAGGATAATCTTTTACTTGACATGGAAAACCAGAGCCAATTGAATGTGCTTCTGGAAGTGATTACAAGTTAAAGATGAGAGCATGCAACAGAGATTTGAGGTACGCATACTTGGTGCATTTGTCCATCTGATAAAATCCTGCATCTTATTTTCTTGTTACAATTCTGTCATACGTATAATTGACATAGGTTTTTAAAATAAAATGGAAACCAATCACCTTAAATTTTAATTATGAAAACTGCAATATTTCATTATGCAATCCAAAAATTCTTATGCAACTTAAAAATTCTAGATGTAATAACTCAACTCTAAATATCAAGATAAAAACAGAAAAACTCAGTTTATTATCATAAAACTCAGAAATGTTCTCATGGTTAGTATTTTTGTGTTGAAGGCACTGTATCAACATGATGGATTATTTTGTATCTATCTAGGCTTTGTGTTGAATTCACCCAGCCTTGGTTAGTTAATTTGACAGCATATATATTCCCCTCTCTTAAACAGAAATGTCAATAAAAATTACTGAAGCATTTTGAACTCTGATATTTTACCTTTGACTATTTCCAAATAAAGACTTAGAATTTCTAGTTCTAAAAAAAAAAATGGAAATATTTGTCTTCTTTAAGTTTTTTGGAATGATTTTATATTAGATTTAAAATATTCATTTAGTAAGTTTAAAATGACAGAAACATTTAAGTAAGAATGCATATTGCGAGATGAATAATACAAAATATTTTAAATAGCTTCATGTGGTTTATCTTCGTCAGTACAAGTATGCGATACTAAAGCTGATAGCAAGTAGAACGCTTCACCCACAGGTGAGAAATGAGAAATTTTAAGGCCTGTTGAACACAACATAATTTCACAGTGGGTCAGCACAAATTTATATAGCACAGGTGTTTCTATAATCAGAGTCCATTGGAAAAATGCACAGTATTCTATGCTCACCAATGTTCAAATACAGCTCCATCTGGGTACTTTGCTGATCTCATAATAATAGGCATCTTATTAAAATGTAAAAATAATACAAGGAAATTTCAAAATTAATTATCTTGAAAAATTCTTTGCTTCTTGTATAACGGTTTTTTTTTGATCCCTAATAGAGTTAAGGCAATACAATTTTTTAGAATCTATGTGTATATACTTTAATACAATTTTGATGACAAATAATTTCAAATTTCAAAAATATAACATTGTTTAAATAATGCACTATATTAAAAAAATGAAAAACAGTGTGAAATAATTTTAAATCTTATAGTCAAAATCTAATTTTTTTTTAAAGGGAAGAGTGACCCCTCTTCCTGTTTAAGTTCTACTTATACATTTCTAAGATTTTCTCAGTTGCTTTCTGTGTAACATAATGCTGTTCAGTTACCTTATTTTATCAAAATTGTACTTACTCTTTGGAGAAAGATGGACTTGTTATTCTGCTTTATCGGGACATTCATTTATTAGGTTTTAAAGAGTGTCTTGGTGCTTCTTTTAGAAAGGCAAGGGTTTTTTTATAAGCTAACGATGAGATGATTTTTTTAAATCTTGATATTTGATAAAGAAAAGATACTTCACGAAATTATTGAATGTACAACAGAGCTCAATGTTTAGAGAACAAAATATTCTGTGTGAAATGGTGCACCTGGGCATTAGTTGCATAAGGAGACAGGAGGGTTGGTCTGATCAACCAAGAGACTGATTTGATATGCATGACTTTAAGCAAAAAAAAAAAAAAAAAAAACAGAAAGAAAAAAAGGTTTACTGTGCTTCATTTGGTTTTAACAACACAAGAGTGGGCTCGTCTGAATTCGTCTCTTTGTATGTTGAGTCCAGCCCTGTCCCTGTCCTTAGCCCTAGGTCTTTGTCAAGTTCTGCTCCTGGAACATTATTGACTCAGTGACACCCCACATTTTTGCTCATCTTCAAGCTGAGAAACCTTTAACCTTACTTCATCAGAAGGCTATAGCTCACAAAGTAAATTTAAAATTTTGAGCAATCTTCAAATTATAAAAATTATAGATACTGTAGTATAAGTATTCAAATTTAATAAATAACATGTATTTTGTACATTTTTCAGAATAGAAACAGAAAACTGGATCCCTTAGATTAAAACAATAAGAATCACAAATCCTGACTTGGGGGCAGAAAGGAATCTAGGAAGTTGGGTGGCACATCTGCCCTGTGTGGCCTTCTTACCTCAAGAAACAGAAGGCAGTCAGGCACGGTAGCTCACGCCTGTAATCCCAGCACTTTGGGAGACCGAGGCAGGAGGATCATCTGAGGTCAGGAGTTTGAGACCAGCCTGTCCAACATGTGAGACCCCTGTCTCTACTGAAAATACAAAAGTTAGCTGGGCGTGGTGGCACACACCTGTAGTCCCAGCTACTCTGGAGGCTGAGACAGGAGAATCACTTGAAGCCCAGAGGCGGAGGTTGCAGTAAACAGAGATTATCCCATTGCACTCCAGCCTGAACAACAGCAGCAAAATCCCATCTCAAAAAAAAAAAAAAAGAAGAAGAAGAAGAAGAAGCAGAAGGCTGGATGTCTGCAGTTCAGAACAGCCTCCACTGTAAATTGTCTTAATGGTCTACAGGCATGAGGAGTAAGTACAAACAAATAAGTCAGTCCTTCAAAGAAAATGTGACTTATCCTTTTTCTCAGCCTCAAACTATTCTTGTTTCCAATAAAATCAATTATGCCCATTTATTTTCTCTTTACTCTTTTCCTTTTTCTCTGCTCTCCATTTTCCTTTTTCCTTCCTTTCACTCTCCTGTCTCAAGCTATTATATCTGATAAATATCCACATTGTGAGTGAGTGAATGCTTTAACATTTTTAAGTCTGTGAGCAGAGAAAATTTGACTTCCTCTCTTCCTGTATAAATACCCATTATTTCTTTCTCTTGCCTGATTGCTCTGGCCAGAACTTCCAATACTATGTCGAATAGGAATGGTGAGAGAGGGCATCCTTTTCTTGTGCTGGTTTTCAAAGAGAATGCTTCCCAGCTTTTGCCCATTCAGTATGATATCGGCTGTGGGCAGATGACATGATTGTATATTTAGAAAACCCCATAGTCAGAGCCCCAAATCTCCTTAAGCAGATAAGCGACTTCAGCAAATTCTCAGGATACAAAAATCAATGACAAAAATCACAAGCATTCCTATACACTACTAACAGACAAACAGAGGGCCAAATCATGAGGGAACTCCCATTCACATTTGCTACAAAGAGAATAAAATACCTCGGAGTACAACTTACAAGGGATGTGAAGGACCTCTTCAAAGAGAACTACAAACCACTGCTCAAGGAAATAAGAGAGGACACAAACAAATAGAAAGACATTCCCAGCTCATGGATAGGAAGAATCAATATTGTGCAAATGGCCATACTGCCCAAAGTTATTTATATATTCAGTGCTATCCCCATCAAGCTACCAATGACTTTCTTCACAGAATTAGAAAAAAACTACTTTAAATTTCATATGAACCAAAAAAGAGCCTGTATAGCCAAGACAATCCTAAGCAAAAAGAACAAAGCTGGAGGCATCACACTACCTGATTTCAAAGTATTCTATAAGGCTACAGTAACCAAAACAGCATGGTACTGGTACCAAAACAGATTTATAGACCAACAAAACAGAACAGAGGCCCCAGAAGTAACTCCACACATCTACAACCATCTGATCTTTGACAAACCTTACAAAAACAAGCAATGGGGAAAGGATTCCCTATTTAATAAATGATGTTGGGAAAACTGTCTAGCCATATGCAGAAAACTGAAACTAGACCCCTTCCTTATACCTTACACAAAAATTAACTCAAGATGAATTAAAGACTTAAATGTAAGACCTAAAGCCACAAAAACTCTAGAAGAAAATCCAGGCAATAACATTCAGGACATAGGCATGGGCAAAGACTTCATGACTAAAACACCAAAAGCAATGGCAACAAAAGCCAAAATAGACAAATGGGATCTAATTAAACTAAAGAGCTTCTGCAGAGCAAAAGAAACCATCATCAGAGTGAACAGGCAGCCTACAGAGTGGGAGAAACTGTTTGCAATCTATCCACCTGACAAAGCGCTAATATCCTGAATCTACAAGCAACTTAAACAAATTTACAAGAAAAAAACAACCCCCAAAAAATGTGGGCAAAGGATATGAACAGACACTTCTCAAAAGAAGACATTTATGTGGCCAACAAACATATGGAAAACGCTTATGATCGCTGGTCATTAGAGAAATGCAAATCAAAACCTCAATGAGATACCATCTCACACCAGTTAGAATGGTGATCATTAAAAAGTTAGGAAACAACAGATGCTGGAGAGGATGTGGAGAAATAGGAATGCTTTTACACTGTTGGTGGGAGTGTAAATTAGTTCAACCATTGTGGAAGACAGTGTGGCAATTCCTCAAGGATCTAGAACCAGAAATACCATTTGACCCAGCAATCTCATTACTGTGTATATGCCCAAAGGATTATAAACCATTCTACTATAAAGACACAGGCACACATATGTTTATTGCAGCACTGTTCACAATAGCAAAGACTTGGAACCAACTCAAATGCCCATCAATGATAGACTGGATAAATAAAATGTGGTACATATACAGCATTGAATACTATGCAGCCATAAAAAAGGATGAGTTCATGTTCTTTGCAGGGACAGGTATGAAGCTGGAAACCATCATTCTCAGCAAACTAACACAGGAACAGAAAACCGAACATGGCATATTCTCACTCATAAGTGGGAGTTGAGAATGAGAACATGTGGACACAGGGAGAGGAATATCACACATCGGGGCCTGTTGGGTGGGTGGAGGCCTAGGGGAAGGATAGCATTAGGAGAAATACCTAATGTAGATGGTGGGTTGATGGGTGCAGAAAACCACCATGGCACGTGTATACCTATGTAACAAACCTGCACTTTCTGCACATATATCCCAGAACTTAAAGTATAATTAAAAAAAGTTTAAGTCAGTAAATATTTTCTCCATAAACAAATAATTTAAATCACCAGAAAATAAATGCTATGGTTGACCAAGCTAAGGGACTATACAAGTTCATGCTGAAATTATACTCTGTAAATCACAACACCATGAAATTGCCGTCATTTTTCCAAAACACATATCTATAACAAAAACATGTTTTTTCAAGTAATGAATAATAGTATCAAAGTCATTGAACCAGTTAAAAAACAATGCCTCCTTGGTAACCTTTAACCACCAAATATAATAATAGAGACACTATTGAATTGGGCCTAAAGTGCTGAAACCTATTTTAGAACTGGCATAGCTTTGTGATCTATATAAACGGCTTTTCAATGTCATCAAAAGAGGAGCTGGGGACTTCACACATTGATTGGTAGTATTGCAAAAGAGACAAGAAATGATGGGTTAATCAAGTCAAAGCTAAAGGCCCTGGGACTACCAGACCCCACACCTGAAACTTACAGCACACAGCTGAGTGCCCAGAAGGGAACTGTGCAGGACACAGTTCTCTCTGCTGGCTGCTGAAAGGTTTCCATAGTGATACTTTTTACTAATTTATTGAATAACTTAACATTTACTTTTTTCCCAGTTTTCTTTTGCAAGCACTTTGAAACATATCCCCTTTTAAACTTTCAAATTAACTTTTACTGAACCAGAACCATTTATATCCAAGTGGAAACTGAGCATTATTCCATGCAGATCTACATTTTATAAATGATCTTTGGAAATGTATGAAAAATTTGACTTGAAAATCTCCATTTCATAATTTTCTTATATTACTTCTAAGATAGGAAATGACACTATAAGATTTCTATGCCTCACAACTATATGTTGTGAAAGGTTAATTAAAATTTATTCAACAGTTTGCAGTTTTTAAAAAAATAGCAAATTTGATTAGCAATAAAAAAAAACACTCAAACAAACCAAATTTGAGATCTCAAGTAAATGGGTTTTTTGGTGTTAAAGTGACCTTAATCATTCTGGTTACTCTACATCTTCTTGTACTTAAATGCAAAAGATAGTGTCTATAAAAGCCGTGTCTATCATGAATAACACCCTCAGTACAAAGGTAAAGTTTCTATGAAGCAGCATTCTTGTCTGCTTCTTAAAAAATTTACAACTAACTTTTAAAATGTTTTCTATTTTGCATTATTCAATTTTTATTTTTCTAAGTAACTCAACTAGATCTTATGATATATAAGACCTGTGTAAAAATGTTAAAGAAAATTGTATTTATATTCTCTTTTTCATACCTACAAAATCACAAATCTGCTGCAAATGAAAAAGGCCAAAACACTTGTAGAGATATCTGCGTACTCAATTTTATTCTTGTATATGATAAAGATATGTAGAAGCATCTCATGTAGATTTCTGAACTCAAATACTTCCCTACCGTATTGGAAAATTATATTTCTGAAACATATAGTTTGAGTATACAAGTGACCCACCCATGCCAAATCTCAGGGGTAGGATTGACATTTTTTTGTTTTCCCTTATTTAAAACTGCCATTGCTTTAAGAAGTTGGTGTCAACTGGCCACCACCCTACGTGTGGTATAAACAATTCCTCTATGCATTTCCATGGTTCCATGAGTATAAGAAACGCAATGTGCTTCTATTTACCTTACTTTAAACATTGGTTATTTTTGTGACTTACTTGTAAGGTAGAAAGCACTATGGTTTGAAATGAAGCTCCAGATTCTCCCATTTTAAAATCAAAGTGTGCACATTTTCAGGATAATATGTCTTCAGCAAGAAGAACATGCTAGCCATCATTGGTTTCTATAGCCAATTATTTCCCCCATGTCGGGGGATTAGGTATTGTTGAGTTGTTCCTAAGTTGGTATCTCCTTGAAGAAATGACTTAAGCCACCCTGTCTAGTGAATCTACCGGGGAAGGGGATAAAAATATAACATGTTAGCCTCACTTTACTAATGTCACATTACTGAATCAGAGAAATCTATGTGTATGGGTAGAAATACCCCTTATATTTTATGCATCAAGTAGTTAATGAGCATTTGCTAAGTCCAGGCATTCTTCTATGTTCTGGAAAGTCTGTTGTGAAGAGAATGAAGACCCTGACTACATGATGATTCCATTCTGGAAGTGGCGGTGAGAGGGGCTTCCAGTACTTTTGGTCATAAGTGTTTGCTCAGATTTAAGTGAAATTTCCTGGTTGTTTTTACATTGTTACTGTGTTTCAGTGAAAAATTTGCACTTCCAGCTTTATCCTGAGGTTAATAGTAGAAAGGACCAGTGTCCTTTCATATTAGGGGATACACTGGCATGTGTTTTAGAGACCTTGCAACAATGTTTCCCAATAAAAATTAAATTCATTCCAAGCTTATAAGAACACAATCAAGCTGAATCAAGATTCGTCAATAAATTAAGGATAAGAATTTCAAGACACTTGCCAGAGAATCTATTACATTCTTTTAACAATTGTAAATAAAGGACTTAGTTTCCCTTTTAATCCATTTGTAAGTGCTAAATAAATTAGAAATACTTCAGAGTGATTTTTTTAAACAAACTTGATTATTATTATTTTGTCTTTTAAAAACTAAGCCTTTACTAAAAAAGAGCAAGATTGTGTCTCTGTAATATAAAGATCTAATGGTATCTTAGGATGCTTTAGTACTCTTCTTTACTTCCCATTCAAAAGCATAAAGATTGCCTTAATACCTACACAGAAGAGTTTTGTGCAATTAATGGTTTAGATAGTTGCTTATTGAAGAAAGGAATAAGATTTAATTATTTTTGTTTTTAAGAAAAAAATTCCTACTGTAGTCTCCCTTTTAATGTTTATCCTCTCTATAATACACCCATGCTAATCTAACAATAATGAGAATGTCTACTCAATTTTGTAATTATTGATTTCAACATATATTCTTACTTCGGAAAAATAGGTATTTCACATTCTAAAGATTTGATGGGCAGAGTCGAGTATCAATTTAGCTCTTAAAATAGACTTCTCACAAACAATGAAGTTACATATCTCTTTTTAAAATGAACTCAAGATATCACTTACTTATTCAGTAAGATGATAGCAGCCTCTCAAGCCTAAATCCTTCCATATTTGTAGGGAAATGCCCTGCAGGTTTAAACATTAAACATTACCTGCTTTTTAGGTTCTTTCAATAATATGTGGACAGATTTAAGTACATTTAAGTCTAAACAAGAGGAATAGTGAAATACTCTAATTGGCAGAATACCTGTACTGCAGTTTCTTTCTCAGATGATAGTGTGTATGTGTGTGTGTGTGTGTGTGTGTGGTGTGTGTGTGAGAGAGAGAAAGTGCAAGGGATATAGAGACAGCAAAAGAGACAGACAGTGAGAGTTTTGCACAAAATTAAGCAAGAAAAAGGAATATGTGGTTATGCTTCTTAGCAAGGGGGTAACTTCTTTTTAGAATTCAACGTCCAGAGTTGCTGGGTCTAGGAGAATTATTATTCATTTTCTCCAAGCCTAGGCTTTTTCCCTAAATGCATAAGCTTAAAGATGGGCCTTTGATAAGTAATATTTAAAATTGATTTTATTTTATTGTTGCACAAAAGATTCTGTGAATTCCTTAATTCACTGTACAATCTAATTACAGCTTGATTTCGCAGTGGGAAAATATATTACCCTATCTTCTCAAGTTACTTTTTGATTATTATCTTCTATGGCTACTGCAGCCCTGGATTACAGCCCAGTCATTTCTTTCAATTTAGTCCTCTCTGTAGCACTGAGTATTGCAGTCGATTTGATCATACAGCATTTAATATTGATTATGGAACTGGTGAACAACAGACTGTCGTATTCAGGCCTGACTGTTGTGGATACATTTCACAGCATGTATTCATAATAATGCACCTTTGTGGGTAGGTTGTTGATAGTGATTAGAGTTGCCAGGAAAGTTTCATATTTAAAACTCATTGCGTTTTCAACCATATGGCAATTATAGGAACAAAAACCTGCTCTGCATCTGATTATTTTTCCAAAATATTTTTCGTATATAATAATCATCATCAAAAAGTATATGTTTAAACCCTGTGAGTATTGTGCTCTGTTGAGGGCCGCTTTTTTTTATTTTTATTTTTTTGACAAATCTTCTATGCTTCTTAAGAACACCGGTTAATGTTCATGTGGATGCTGACAAAGAGAATGATATGGGGTTCTTGTCTCAGAGAGGAGACCAAGTCTAAGCAAATGAATGAAAATGCAGAGAGTAAAAGCTTACCTTTTTTCTGTTTCCGCTCTCTCTTTTATGATCTCAGTGTCTTTCCTTACTACCTCTCTGTCTCTGTTTCCTGATCTGTCTCTCCTCTTTCTACACCTCCCCTACCCAAACACAGACACACACTTCCAGGGCTTTGGAGACAGGCCTCTGTAAAGTGTGTGACTACAGAAACTGGCCCTAATAACATGAGGTGCTAATTGTTTCTGCCTGCTGCTCCTGCCTCCAGCATCCTTTGCATCTGTCTTCAGAACCTCTCATGCTCTGCTCACTTGGGAAGGCCAAGGTTTTGGCCAAGGGAGACACTCACACAATTGCAGTAGTGAATTAACGGTCTAAACTCAGAGTTAAGAAGCCCCAAGATCAGTGTGCAGGACCTGTGTGCCCCCTGCCACCTGCAGACTACCACCTGTTCCCGCTCCGGTGACTCTTCAATACTGTGCTGGACTCAGCTGGGGTCAAGGGCCACAGAGACTTCCTGGTTTCCAAGGTTTCCAATTACACAAGGGTATCTTTATCATAAAGCTACTGTTTTCCTTTTTTTAAATTAAATTTGCTATCTTTATTTTGTAAGTTAACAGTTGGTCATGTGGCTCTACTTTTGAGGATGGCATTTTTTTTTCCAGTTAAAGACATAAAACTAAATGTAGCTTATGTATACAGACTCTGGGTCATACAGACTTTAGAAAAAATGTTAAAAAATTAATTGCAATTGTGTAAAACGTAAAACTTAAATTCGTTCTACATTTCACAGGCTTGCACAATGAATTTGGTTCTATAATATTGACTTTAGTTACACAAGATGTGTTGCATTTGACTGGAGTCACAATCCCTCCCCTACCATAATTGAAAACATAACATTTGATAGATGATTTGAGAAAATTTTAATTACCTTTTAAGAGAGCCTTTGATTAAAAAAATGAAAATTTCCATATTAATTTTTGAACTGCATATGAGATCACTGTTTGAGCTTATTTTTTAATACATTTTGGACCAAACTTTAAGAAACACTAAAGTACACACTGTTTAAAATTATTTAAGATGCTTTTTGAACATTCTCTCCAAGAATTTTCCATCAGCTGAAGTTTTATTGCATTTCTGATTGGAGCTATGAAGAACAGTCAATGTAGGCACAAAGAAGCCACCAGAAAAAGAAACAGAAAGAAACCCTAAAAAAGTCCCCAGTTGATTCGATATCACGATACAGATAAGATCATGGTGGGATTGAATATCAAATAAGACAACTGCCCATGCTAACAAAAAAAGAGATGTCTTAGAGGACACATCCACATCGCAAAACGAATGGCAATACCCTGTTAAATGTGACATAGGTTTGAAGAATTTTGAAGACCATAACTGTTTCGCTTCCTCTGTAAACAACATTTAAGGCTCCTTCTTATCTTGTTCCACACACAAGAAGAAGCTTTTTTGCTTTCGTTTAACACAAGTATTTTCAACCTCACAGATGAAGGCAGGTAAAAAAGCCCTTTTCTCTAGTAAAGACTTCGTTTCATTGTATGCATGAAATCTGTGTTAAAACCCAGCCACTCAATGTTAACTAAAACTGCATTGAGGGACCTCTGATTCACCAGCATATTTTCATTTAATCAAAGACACCTGGTTTTTTGAATCTCTGACTCTAAATAATTCTGAGTATTTTTGTTTTCTTTTTACTTTGATAAAGGACTTTCCTTTTCTATAGCTGGTGTCGTCAAAATGCATTGGTCCCATCCACCCCCAAACCAAAGACGTAAACAATATTCACGCAGGGGGAATATAACTTAAGCAATTCACAGAGTATACAAACATTTATTGGTACAAAACCTGCAACATGAGTTTTTTGTTAAATTTTAACAGTGTTTTCTCAAATCTTCAAAGCTTGCCTTGATGGTTTGCTGAAGTAATTGAACCACTCTTGAGTTGTTTTATGTAGGACATCTTATCTTTCTTTCATTACCCAGGCTGTGGCTTTTTTTCTATTCCCATGAAATCCATGTACACACTTTAGAAGCCCTCCTGAACAAGCTCGCTTCTAACTTTCACAGAGCCCTTAGCACAATTTGAATACGAAAGAGATACTGAATAAAAAGCTTTAATCTCTTGTCTGTTATGCTGCTTTCTTGCCTCTCTTCATCTCCTCCTCTTCCAAGGGCTTTTCTGTGTGAGTAAAGTGAACACTTTCTGTTTAAAGTGAAGTGTGATATTCAAGAAGATGCATTCGGTAGGCTGAGATCGGGAAGTGGCTCCTGTAAATCTCCTCTGTCAAAAATTTAGCTACATTTCTGCTGCATTGCCTTCTGTTTAAGTCTTTGCAGGTAAAAGATTAGTAAAGAGCTCTCCGTGAACAAAAATCATTCAATCAGCAGAATGTACAGGGAGTATCAAATGTGCCCTCCGCCTCAAATACTGTGGGGTTCTCTCCTCTGATACCTCTTCCCCTCGGTGAGCTGAAACTGCTTGAAAGGGTTTTCTGTTCTCTGGTCTCTTGTCAATTTGAATGCCAGGAAATGAGCCCCCTTTGTGAGATTAATTAATAGCAGGAGCGGATCGGCCGAGCCCAATCGCCACGCAACGGAGCTGTAATTGCTACTTTGTGGAAAGGAAAGAAAAAAAGTTTGGGTTGCCGTTTAAGAAGAGGGTTTAAGGAAAGTTCTTTGAACTGGAGGTCTCAGTGCACTGGATTAAGGCAAGAAGCAAGGAGGCCTTTGAAGTTTGCTAAGAGGTTTTGGAGGGGAAAAAAGTTGGGTGGCAAAGGGAGCTGGCAACATCAAAAGCGCTCTCGCTGCTCCTCACCTGCTTGGCTTCCGAATGGGGCCCACAGGCTGGAAAGCAGCCTTGCAGGTCAAGAGACCAGCCAGGATGGCGGGGGTGGGTGTTTGTTTATTTGCGCTGCAGACATGCACTGTTGCTACAATGTATGTGCCGTATCTCAAATTAGAGGTGCTGATTTAAGACTCTGCTCTTGGACGCACTTATAGAATGAACCTACATCTGCCACACGATCCCCCAAATTGATTTCTCTCATTTCTTCATGCCACTTTCCCTTCTAAGATCTGCAACGACAGTTTACGAAGTTTCCCTGCTTATCATTTAGCAACGATATATTGATAAGAGAAAAAAAAGGATGAGATTATTACAGCAAACATATCCATCCCCTGTCTGGAAATTAGAATTAGTGAATGCCATGTATTCTCAGCAGGGACAATATCGCCCCCAAGGGGGTGAAATTGATTCTTGGGGGTGGGGGGAGCTGAAAAAAAATCTTAGCTATTATAACCTTTTATGGCTCTCTAAAGGACTACAGCACATCAACGGATACACAATATATCTGAACTAATACGATTTCATGGGGAGGGAAACAATTAGAAATAAAATATCTACAAAGGCTCTTTAGGGGTCATAAAAAAACAAATAATAAACCCTGAGGATCACTGGTATAAGCAAATTTCTAAAAAGTTGTACGAATTTCATTTCATAAGAATTGTGTATTGACCAGAAGTTACCTCAAGCATATGTATTTCCCATTTTTATTTTATATGTAGTAGGTCCTATCTCAATACTTCCAAATCTTATATTAAGTTTTTCATTATTATTTTGTTAGGCTCGTCAGACTGATGGCTTGAGAAGATCCACATATTTGAATTGAAAACTTGAATAGATTTTACTTCTTACTATTACAATTTGTCTGTAGGCTCAGATTGCATACTTGATTTTTTAGAAAAAATAACACAATTAATTTGCCAGATTGTTTGAGTACCTTGTGAAACATCACAAGTTCCAAACTTAGATTTTTAAAAATAATCTGTAGATCTACATGTTTTATTAATACAACTTATTGAATCCATTCAAACTTTGCTTGGCATGCTTTTTCCTTAGGCTAATGAAGTTAGGTATCAATTTCAAATCATAAGCAGTATTTAAGGAGAGAAGTTATAGAAAAAAAAAAAAACCTTGACATTTATTGGCTAATGGGATTGTTTTAGAACTCTCACTAATTTAAATTCAAGGATTTTGCTTTCATTTTGAACTCAACTTCCAAGATAAATACATAAAATTTTAATTTAACCAAATGTGTAAATATTTAGGAATATACTTTAATAATGAGAAAATCTTGTTCCTATGTTTTTAATCTATAACCATGCTTTATTTTTCTCCCATTATAATGACAAGGAATGTTTGAAAATCAAGAAGCCCAGTCTGGTCTGAGTAAACCAGAAACTTTTCTAGGCCTGCCTTGCAGCTAGACACCATGTTTCTCAGCATTATCACCATTGACAGTACTATTCTTCACTGACCTTGAGAAACAAGTTTTGGAGACTTTGCTTTACGAAAAATTTATATACATGGGAATATGCATAGGGAGCCATGTCCTCTCTTTTCCAATGTATTTGATCTGATGTGTTCAGAAAGATATTCAGTAGAGTGACAGTCTTAGCAAAAAGGACTGGTGACATTTCAGGGCTTCCTTTTCATTGACATCCAATACCACTTCGTGCTGCACAAGCAGGTTGGCCTAGCCTAGCATTCAGCCCACAGTGAGCAATCAATAAACGTTGTTGACTGACCTCCGTTGGTGCACCCAACACATCAACCCATGGACTCTGCAGCCTCATTACAGAACCATCTTGGGGGACATGCCATTTTGAAAGTTTTACAAATATTTTTAATACAATGAGTGAGTGAATGAAGTAGCTGGTAATTATGACTCCATTGCTAGAATTCCCAATCCCTAATCCTTCCAAACTTGCAGCAACACATGTCTCTGTTTCCAATGAATGCCATGATTCACCTCACTTAGGAGAGATCTCTCCACTTCATGCAGAATAGAAATTACGGACATATAGAAATGTGTACAATATAAATGACTTGAAATATATGTTCTATAATATTGGCTGTACTGTAGTCCACTAGCTGTCAAAAAACTGTATATAATTATGCTCATTAAGAAAAAA
Organism: Homo sapiens; assembly: GCF_000001405.40. Lineage (NCBI taxonomy): Eukaryota > Metazoa > Chordata > Mammalia > Primates > Hominidae > Homo > Homo sapiens. The sequence continues at coordinate 103,291,020 of NC_000002.12, read as the reverse complement.
CAGGCATATATTCAATTACTTTTCTGCTGCCAGAATAGTTTTCTCTTCTATTATATCAAATATCTTAGTTTATGCCATGCATGTTAAAGTTTACCACTCCTTGAGGCTTGTAACTGCAACATTTTTGAGCTATCTGGAGGATTATAATTGCGTGCACATACCAATTATGGATTGGATTCAGCATTTTCAGATAACTTCCCAAATCGCAAAGACAGCACAGTGGTCTCCAGGCATTTTCAGGCCAGTTTGATTACAGGTGTAGTACACACAGTCTTGTTAGTTCTCCTTGATGAGGGCTTCCTTTCCCTGCTGGGTCTCTGGGAGAGAAACTGACCATTGCTTTTCACTAACAATTTCTTCTCATTCCCCAGAGATGCCTTAATGAGCCCCTCGGACATGGCCAAAGGCAATCTTGTTCTCTGGGCCAGTGAGGTGAAAAGCCAAAGCTTAACCTACCAGGCAAGCAATAATTAATAAGGTATCTTTGATTCATCTCAATTCATTAACAAAGTTACAAGTTTGAGGGCCTAAAGGAACACAGTGTTTTTCTGTCATTTCATTTACAAGTATTGAATGAAACACCCATGCCAAGGTATGTTAAAAAAAAATTAACTTACAAAGAAAATAAATGAATGTAGAATACTAATTGGGTGAAAGCAACTGACAGATACTGCAAAAGATTGATTTTAGGGAAAATGGAGAAATCTGTTTTCTGTTTATTTTAAGGACAGGAAATGAATACTGATTAGAAATGTATAGGCAGTTGCGTCGTGCAGCATTTGGTAATGTTTTCACTGGATATTTGATTTGTCTAAGTTTTTCCCAGATTTTAGATTGGATGCCAGTTATCAGAGTGAGTTTTTTGTCTAATAGTTAGTTGGACTTCCTTGGATACATGGCTCTTAAATTATGAGCATTTGCAATGCCTTCCTGTGGAAAAAATAATTCAAGCACAAATGTCACATTGCCACAGAAATACCTCTTTTAAGTAGGCAAAAGAAGTCTGAGATGATGCGGTTCAATTTCTGCTGGCTTATTTTTTTTCCTAAGAATCTGTTGTGAATTTGTTTAAAAGAAAATGACCCTTTTGGATTTGTAGGAATCTGGAAGTGTTATGCTATTATTCCTTAAATGTGCAGTATGGATATATGTCTGTCTATCTATCTATCTATCTATCTATCTATCTATCTATCTATCTATCTATGTATCTACCTACCTACCTATCAATCATCTACCTATCTATCTGATAGGTAAAATATCCTCAGATAGATATCCTCTAGGATAAAAGCAAAAACAAAGCAAAGCCATATTTCTACATAAGAAATGTTAGTTTTAGACGAGTGTATTAGAATGCAACCCCTCAGAGAAAGAGAGGAAGTATCAATCACTGTGGGTGCACATTAAGCTGTTCCTTAGTATTGCCATCCGGTTTAAGTGGGGGAGGGCTCATCTCATCTGCATTTGTTGTATTCCAGTCTTGCTAGGGGGCCTGCCTCCGCAGTGAATAAGGTGACTGTGGGAACAGCTTGGAGGTGGCAGAAAGGCTATAGCAGAGTCAAGCTGCTTCCCTAATCAGCTTTGCTGGGACCGCTGTATGATAGCCTCTGTGAAGAAATTTAAAGACCCTTATGCAGTATCTCCTGGAACTGTGTACAGTGTACATGGGCTGGAGTCAAACTATTCTGATTCTTCATGGGAATTTTGGAAATGCAGTAGTGAGGTTGTAGTGACATCTAAAGGCAGACTCTTCAACTTGTACTGCACTTCCAGACAGCTTGCTCCTTTTTACCAATGCTTCTAATGATAGCTTCTGACATATTTCTCCTAAAATCTGCACAAAGCAGCTTTACCTCAGGTCTTCTCTTTTCTCAGTCTGTATCGTTGAGAGTGGGAATTTTCTTGCCATCTGTGAATTCCTCTCTTGTGTACAATATTCTATCACTTCTGTCGCTGCTGCAAGGTTGTCTTCTCCTCTGAAACCAATACCCTTAACAATTATTTGGCCTCATCTTGAGGCCAAACGAGGCTAAAGTATGTAAAACACACCTTGGGTGAGAACCTCCACTCCCCTGTGCCAAGATTCTGCCTTGGTGGCAATTACACAGCTGGCTGGCTATGTAATGCTCCCTTTCCTGCGTTCCTGGAGCTAACAATATGCTCCAGAGGCTGTATAAATTTCCTCTGAGGGGTAGGCTTTGTCCAAGCCACCTGCTGCTATCATGAATTGGATGCAACTGCCTTGCCACTTGGCACAAGGAAATACGCACTTTTAATGTTGGGTGCCCACATTTGAACCGTGTTTCTTTTCTTCTTCTTTGGATAAAATGACCTTTACCTTTAGCTTTTCTTTTTTTGCATCCTCAATTCCGTAGGCTTCTTCCTGCCACTTCCTCACTCTCCGTAGGGACTTTTAACCTTGCCCTTGACTATCCTGCAAAGAGGGCTGGCTTTTCACCACCACCTCCTCCCCAAGCATCCTCGCTGTGGCCATTTCAGTGACCTGCTGTCTTGTTTTGGATGAGCTTCTCAGTCTCCTGGTGTGCAGAGTAGTGAGCCTAAAAGTTCTCATACTTTGATTTGCTTTTACCATCCTTAATCAGATGCATCCCATTGGTAAATTTGGACAAGGGCAAGAAAATTAGACCAAGTACACAAGGCAACAGAGTATTTTGCATGCAGGTGATTCCCAACAATAAGAAAACCTGAATTATTGCTCTCCATTGAGGGGATGGCAGTTTTTCTTTTCTGTTTCTTCTTCTTTAATGGCCTCAGGGAAAGACCTATAAAGTTGCATTGAATAGTTGGAAGATAATAACACTAGTGGTAAATGTCCCTGCATAGGTCCACCACCCTGCCCCTGGCAGTAATCCTGGCCTTGGGGATCTGAAATTTCCTAAAGATGTATTAGTGTCGTATACACATGTGCGCTTGTACGCTCATAATCCTTTTCTCTGGCTTCTTAGCTGCATGCTTTGTATTTAAATTTTCCTTCTGACCAAGTAAATCCCTTTGGATGAAGTGACAGGGTCTTTTCAGCACCCATAGCTGGTGACAGCTGGTGGAGAAACTCTGAAAGGCTGCAAAGTGTTCCTTACTAGCTTTCTTCAAGACCAGTGCCAGCCACCAGCTGAGCGATTTCTTAGTTCTCCCTTCAGGCATCAGTCAGTTGAAGAGGCTCACAGTAAATGCTAAAATATAATAGATATTAATATAAAAGACAATATCTGTACTTCTGGCTTAACCATGCCTTTAATTAGGTACTTCTTTATTATATGTGAACATGGAAACTTTTCATTAATTCTGGTGCAACCCTTTATTAATACTGTATGAAGTATATTCTGGCATCTGAAATGCAGTGAAAACGGCTTTGAAAGCAGTGATTGCCGATAACCTTTGAGGAAAAAAAAAAAAAAAAACAGCTCGCAGGGCCAGATGCATGCTGTTCCCCCTTCTACACTGAAGTTTCCCTGTGAATTTTAACTTGTAATATATTCTGTTGTTTTAAATGAAAATTGAAAGATGTCTCTTTTTGTGGGGGGGGGGGGTGGTCCCTGTGGCCCATTGCTATTGTTAGATTAAGTAATGAGGTAATGACAAAGATTCAACCTAAATAAGAAACTAGACTTTGAATTAATGTGGGCATTAGCAGTAAGATAGACCCCATGTGGAATTGTTTAGTTTTGAATAGTTACCTAACCAGATGCCAGGTCTATATTTTCTGAAAAAGCAAAATAAAATAATATTTTCGGGGGAACACAAGATAATCATTTTACAGCAACATTTTGTTGTCATTAGGATTTCTTTATAAAGCTGGATTTCTCATATACCTAATAATCCTTCTAGAAATTAAGCATCTGCTAACATAAAACATGTCTAAAATGTAAAGTAATATACCGTTTCTAAAGATGTCTAGCTATAGATTCCTTTTCACGTACTTTCTCCTTTACTACTTTTGCTTACTCTTTTCTTAATTTTTTGAAGCATGAAAAGAGTTGAGAGAGTATTTTATTATTTTTGTGTGGATACATATAAATTATCCCTTGAAACTAGGCTTTCAGGGAAGAAGTATTTGTTGCTGTATATTATGTCCATGTGGAGATCTGATAGAGCATAGACTTAAAGTCATGCAGATGGCCAGATATGTTGGTTATTCCAGAACTTTGAGAAGTCTTGCTTGAGACAAATTATTTGACAATGCAAAATTAATAGCAGAGTCTACCATTCTGGTTTGGTAACAAAAAATTACATAGAAATGAAAACTTTTCTTCACACATGCAGAAATGTGTGTGTGTGAGTGTGTGTGTATATATAATCTTCCTCTTGCATTTCCATTGCTTTTTAAATTGATATAATTTTGCTATTAAATGAATCTGACATCCTGAGAATATTTCAAGAAACTTGAATACTACATTTCTTGCTATGATTCAGTTTTACAGAAACTGTTACACTTGAATCTACTAAGTTAGAGATGAGAAAATTAATACAAAAATAAAAGAAAATAGTTGAACTTTACCTTATATTTCAAAGTCCAAAACGATGTATTGGCAGCAAAACAGATTCTGTGACTTTTGTGGAAGAGAGTGGTTCAATTTGGAGTTTTAATTCCTGAGTTTTTTATTTTTGTTGTTCTGCATTTAGCATTCCAAATTTTCTTACATCTGTACCTCTGTTTGGGAGGAGGAAATGTACAGGATGGGAAAAGGGAACCGGAGGCTTTTACAGGTATAAATATGTAACTGAGCCCTCAAAATAGGCACTTTGCAAAACATCAAATGATACCTTTTTCTGAAATATGAGAAAAATTGCTGAACTCAATAATCGGGGTATGCTATAATAATATTAAATAAGCTGTCAAAAGAATAACATTTCTCCTGAAATCAATTAAAATGAGCAATCTACTAATAATAGAATTAGAAACTGAGTTGATTGTCATTGGTGGTGGTGGTGTTTGAACCAAAAATGCACATGGGCTTTCAAATATTCAAGTACTTCACCATCATGTTTTTTGCACCTGATGAATTATTAATACAGGGCTTGTGCTGGGCTCACCAGCTATTTCCGAATGCCTATTAGTAAGTCACAATTTGATGTGTCACCATGAAGGGTGAAGGGGATGGCTAATAAGAATATAATCTATTCATCGGTGGGCACACACTGATATCAGTTACTTGATCTACTTCGTTTTGCTTTGGGTAAATTATTTGAATGAGCTTTGTGATTTTGTGTGACAAATTGCTTGTTTTTGTTTGTTCTGTTTGTTGTTTTCTCATTCTTGTTCTTAGAGGCAGGCAGGCATTCATGTGTGCATGTGTGTGTTTTAATGGACAGTTTTGTGTGCTGTAATTTTTTGTACTTCTTTATACCAAATATTTCAAATACAAACATACACACACATATATGTACTGAATACCTGTATTTGTGGTGTCTGTTTACATTTTCTGTCATGTAGTCACTAAGCACACAACGTACACTTAAAGGATGTCAAAACTGACAGCCTCAGCATGATTGATGACGCTCTGGTAGATTGATTCTTACCAGGTGTGGTGTGATGGGAATTCAAATGCTGTTCAGAGCTCTTATTTGTGTTAGTAAAGTTTTGCTTTTCTGTAAGTTTTTGGGTGGAAAGAAGGCAGGGGAAGCTTCTGAACCGGTAATTGTAAACCCTTGTTTAAGATATATTGAATATGTCAAGAAAAAATACACGGAATTTTTTCCCAACATGGGTATCTGATGCATGTTATCCATTTTTATATATTTACTTTTCAACTCACACCTATGTAGTCTCTTACATTATCAGCATAAATATTTTCAAAGATTTCAAATTACTGTTGCTGTTATTGATTTGGGTAAACAAATGCCCCATTTATTCTCTTAACTGGACAGAAGTGATTACTCCCTGCCTGAATGCATGAAAACACCAAACCAACATTTTAATTGAAATTTCATTTAAAAATCCTGAGCCAGCTGCAAGTTTGACCCAGCGAATGTGTCATTCTCTGGCCTCTATGCACGTAGTGCCTCCTCTCTAAACTAAATCCAAGAGCTCAGATTGGCCCCTACTGGACAATAGCCACCAATGCAAAAGAGCAGGGATCTCTTTGACTGCTCTGGGTTTCATTGCCCTCATGCTCATCACTGTGGCTGACTGACACCAGGCACCAGAGGCGATCCTGAACAGTAACCACGTATACATTATCAGAATGAAGCTCACTCATTTTCCATAACTGAATTCAGTGTTTTCTGATAAAAAGAAATTTTCTTTCCTTTTGGCCACTTAAAGTAGGAATGACAGTGCTAAATGGGTAAATTTCTGCCCTGGGTAATTTCAGAAAATGGAACTCTGTGCCTCAGGATGTTGTCAAGTGTGATCTGTCATTAACGGAGGGGAACTGGCAACTTAAGTCATCAATGGTCACAAGTGAAGCGTCCTAACTTCACTCCCATCCTTACTCATCTTTCCAAAGAGCACTCACTCAACTCGATCTTTGGATATAAGTGGTCTCAAAAGGTTGTCCCATGATCTGCAACAAACAATGTTTCTCAACCAAATTGTCAAGGAAAATTATAACACACAGCAATTGAATGTCTTCTTTTTTTGCCCCTTTGACTTGTTCTCAAGGTTTCAGGTAAGCAATAGGGGTAAGAGAAGAGGCACTTTCTTCAGACTAAAATGAGAGGGAGCTGACTGTGAAGATTCAACTGTCTTTATTCAACAGGTGGTGTAACTACTTCATGGACACTCTCCTACCCTCATGGCCAGGAGCTGAGAGAGATTCTCAGCAGCTGTTGTTGGACAGTGCTCATTAACACAAACAAAACAGCATTGCTTCCTAGATTCTTTGTACTACATAGTATTTGCAGGACTTTTTATGACAAAAAGTAATTGCCTAGCCACCAACTAACTTTCCCAATACTTGTTTTCTCTGTTATTTATCTTGACTTTTACCTGATTATCCCTTGTTTCAACCCTGCTACCTGATCAATAACCACAATATGTCCCCATCCCGCCCCATCCTTCCCCATCCTTAACCCAGTGATTCTGTGCTCCTGTTTCCTCTGCTCTTTCTCATCAACTCTGTTTTTGTTTTTGTTTTTTTTTCCTTTTTGAGTTGGAGTCTTGCTCTGTCACCCAGGCTGGAGTGCAGTGGCACGATCTCAGCTCACTGCAACCTCCGCCTCCCAGGTTTAAGCAATTCTCCTGCCTCAACCTCCAGAGTAGCTGGGATTACAGGCACCCGCCACCATGCCCAGCTAATTTTCGTATTTTTAGTAGAGATGGGTTTTCACTATGATGGTCAGGCTGGTTTCAAACTCCTGAGCTCAAGTGATCCGCCTGCCTCAGCCTCCCATAGTGCTGGGATTATAGGCATGAGCCAATACGCATGGCCGTCAATTCTGTTTTCTTTGCCTTAGAGTTAGCCTCTCAGTGTCATCTTTCTGGTCTACTCTGTCCCCAAGAATACGTTGTTAACACTATGGCCTGTTTTTCTTGGTTTTGGAGTTACTCAGTTAGACAAGGGACACTAAACCAGTCTTAAGCTCTTTCCAGGAATATGAAAAGTTGCCAAAGTGCCCTTTAGTTGAGTACTAGAAGTCAGGAAGAACAGCAAGGCAACAACCTTTGAGTTCATGCCCAGTGCAGAGCTCTGCAGACATAAGGCAACAAAGATCTGAGAGCTGGTTGGAGAGAGACCAGGCATGACTTTGCTGATGTTGGGCACAGGGCAGTTCCTGTCACTGCAATAGTTTCATGATATAGGGCAAGGTGGCTTAACGTGTGCTTTAGAGAAATATTGGGGACCAAAGACAAAGTCATTCATATGTTTGATGGGTTAAGCTCTTAGTAAGAAACAACAACAACAACAACAACAAAACAAACCCAGTATATAGATTATATGGGGACGTAATAAAGGTTTGCAGATAAAGACAAATACTACATACTCTTATCAAATAGTACAATTAGAAGCAGTGTATAATAAGTTTCCCAAATAGGATATACTTGGAAGTGAAGAGCTACTCCTAACAATTACATAGGGACAGCAGTTGTACACCAGGACCACCCAATACATCAAAACATATTTTCACCTTAAATATATATATATTTTTTTTCTTTGGAGACAGAGTCTCGCTCTGTCACCCAAGCTGGAGTATGACACGACCTTGGCTCACTGCAACCTCTGCCTGCTGAGTTCAAGTGATTCTCCTGCCTCAGCCACCTGAGTAGCTGGGCCTGTAGGCGCCCACCACCATGCCCGGCTAATTTTTGTATTTTTTTAGAGATGGGATTTTACCATGTTGGCCAGACTGGTCTCGAAATCCTGACCTCAAGTGATCCGCCCCCTTTGGCCTCCCAAAGAGCTGGGATCACAGGTGTGAGCCACCAGCCCCCACCTTAAATATATAACTTATTTCACAAATATCCAATGAGAATGTCCAATGTCCTGAATTTGTGGTGTAGGGATTGCTGGTTGGGTGTTAACAGGTGTCTATCTGGAACTTGCTAGAAATCCACCCACTAGGGCGTTAAGGAAAACTGTTCCCTGGGACAAGTCTCACTGGAGGAAATTCTCTACAAACACACCTGAGGGAGGTGTCGGGAAGGCTGTTAGCCATAGAGTGCCGCTGGCCACCAAGCACCGCAGGGCCACTGTGCTGGAGAAGCTGGCATGCTGCAGGACCCAAGCTCTGGGCACTGCAGGAGCTGGCTAGAGAGTACAGTGGAAGCAGAAATCATAGCCCTTTTCTCCTGTAGTGTCTCTCCAGAGCCCTCTACCAACAAAACTTAATGTTATGCTAGCTGGCAAAAACAAGCATTTAAACGGCTCAGATGCATTTTCACAGACCAGGCAATAAAGGAGGAAATTAGAGCCGAGAGGCAATAAACTGATAACTGGCCCACACAATAAAAGCATATCACCCACGGACCCACTCCTCAGAGCCGTCTCTTTGGACTGCTTTGGTTTTAGGTTCTTCTAGTGGTTACTTACAGTATTAAGCTAATACTTGTAATTCTTGGTATATCAACTTTAAGTTGATCATCTTGGTATATCAACTTTAAGTTGATCATCTTGGTATATCAACTTTAAGTTGATCATCTACTAATAGCTTACCATGAAAAATGAGAAATGTGGCCTATTTTACCATCCCCTTCTCATCTCAATGTTTCTTAATTAAGATGGTAGTCACCTAAGAAATGTTAAATAATATGCTTAAGCCTCATTTCCACCCATTATACTTGGACAGCATTTTCTTTTTCTTTTTTCTTTTTTTTTTTTGAGACAGAGTCTCACTCTGTCACCCAGGCTGCAGTACAGTGGCGTGATCTCACCTCACTGTAACCTCCACCTCCTGAGTTCAAGCGATTCTCCTGCCTCAGCCTCCTGAGTAGCTGTGATTACAGGCACCCACCACCACGCCCAGCTAATTTTTGTATTTTTAGTAGAGACTGGGTTTCACCATTGTAGCCAGGCTGGTCTCGAACTCCTGACTTCAAGTGATCTGCCTGCCTCGGCCTCCTGAAGTGCTGGGATTACAGGCATGAGCCACTGTGCCCAGCCAATTGGACTGCAATTTCTGACTCCTCGCTACACAACATGAGAAATACCAAAGGCTGAGTACCTTCTTTCTCCTGTCCTCTCCTCACTAGCATACTCAGTTCTTCTCAGGCTTAATATCACTTTTCCATTCCTACATTATATTCTGTTTAGTTATTATAATTAAACTCTGTGTCCTTTTTCTGGCAGTTGCACCTAAGAACGGAAACCCAAATGTACTGCATTCTTAGTGTCATGATTATGTGTTACTTATTGGCGTATTATTTATGTAAGCACTTGGTGACATAAGTGTATCTATAAGAGCAAATATGTAAACATTAAATGAGAAATGTGCTATTCTTGTGACCATATTGTCATTAAAATATGGAGTTTTTTTAGAAAACTTGTCCAAGTAAGAGTGAGTAATGGTCAGGTGGGTCAAATCTAATTCTAATGCAGAGATTTTGAACAAAATGCTATAACTGAGCTATGATTTTTACCGTTACATCTTAATAGATTCGAGATTAAGAATACAGATTATTAGCTCATAGAAAATTCATTTGTGTGCATCGCATCAAGTCAAGCAATATAGAGGCTAGAGATGTTCCTGTGCTTCCCTGCTTTCTTACACCATTGTCTGCGCTTATAGAAATATGCTCATGATTTAGTTTGTTTTTTTAATGGAATTCCGTTATACATATTATTTGTTAACTTTTTATTTTGAAAGTACTTTTTGATTGACAGGTGTGTTGCAAAGATTTCACAGGGAATTCTCATATGCCACATACCCAGGTTCCCTGATGCTAACATCTTTTATACCACAGCACATTTAGCGAAACTAAGAATTAGCACCGATTTAATAATATTAACTAAATCACAGACTTTATTTAGTTTCCAGTAATTTTTTTTTTCACTAACTTCCTTGTTTTCTGTTCCAGGATCCAATTTGGGGTATCACATTACATATCTCTCTAAAGCGATTATTTAAGACGTAGAGTCCCATGGGACTGTTTCAGGATCCAATCGGTTACGTATCTACCATCCCAATACCACCTAGCGCAGTTCCATCATCCATGAAGCTCTGTAGTAGTAAGCTCCTTCCCAATCCCTAAACCCTAACAACCACTGAAAGGGTAATCGTCTCTATAGTTTCCCTTTCCCAGTATGACTTATAAATGGAATTATGCAACATGTAGCCTCTGGATCTGGCTTCCTTCACTTGATAAAATATGTTGAACATTTATCCGTGCAGTTGCATATGTCAATAGCTTATGCCTTTATATTGCTGAGAAGAATTACATCATATAGATGGGTCACAGTGTGTTTATCCATATGCCTCTTAAAGAACATCTGGGCGATTTTCCATTTTGAGATATCACGAACAAAGTTACTATAAACATCCATGTACACATTTTGGTGTGAATATAAGTTTTTAATTCTTTTGAATAACTAGGAGTAAAAGTACTTGGTCCTAGAGTATGTCTAACTTTATGAGAAAAAGTGCTAAACTATTTTCCAAAGTGGTTGTATCCTTTTGTATTTCCTTCAAAACTGAATAAGAGTTCCTATTGCCTGGATCATTGGTATTGTCAGGTTTTTATTGCTGCTATCATTGTTTAGTTTAGCTTTGACATTCTAGTAGGTGTGAAATGGTGTCAAATTATAGTTTTAATTTAATTTTCCTAATGACTTATGATGTTGAACATCTTTTCATATGCTTACATGCCCTCCATATATCTTCTTTGGTAAAATGCCTGTTCAGAATTTTTTTCTCACTTTTTACTGCTTCAAAGGGTTGAGCTTTAAGGACTGTTACTATATTATGAACTCAATTCTTTATCAGATAAGTGATTTGTAAATATTTTGTAATAGCCTGTGAATCATCATTTTATTATCTTAACAGTATCTTTCACAGAATAAAAGTTAATCTGGGGCAAGTGTAATTTATCAAATTTTGGTTTTCCTTTTCTAGTTTGTGCTTTTACTGTGATATTCCTCAAATCATTGCCAAATGCCAAATTAGAGAGATTTTCTCCTATGCTACTATATGTTTATGTTTAAGCCTATGATCCATTTTGAGTTAATTTTTATAAAAAGTGTAATGTATCTTTTGAAATTTACTTTCCACATATGTATACTAATTTGTTCCAATACTTTTTGATGAAAATATTATTTCTTCATTGAATTGTCTTTGCACTTTTATCAAAAACCAATAAATTGTATTAGTATGGGTCTATTTTGGGGTCCTCTATTTCATCCATCAGTTTATGTATTCATCATTTCATCAATATTTTACTGTAATGATTACAATATTTTTATAGTACATCTTAAAATTAGATGGTTTGAGTCCTTCAACTGTATTCTTTTTCAGAGTTGTTTTTTCATATTGTAAGTCACCTGACTCTCCATATAATGTTAAAATTAACTTCTAAAAAGCTACAAAAGCTCACGCCTGTAATCCCAGCACTTTGGGAGGCTGAGGCGGGTGGATCATGAGGTCAGGAGATTGAGACCATCCTGGCTAATATCGTGAAACCCCGTCTCTACTAAAAATACAAAACAAAATTAGCCAGGTGTGGTGGCGGGCATCTGTAGTCCCAGCTACTCAGGAGGCTGAGGCAGGAGAATGGTGTGAACCCGGGAGGCGGAGCTTGCAGTGAGCCGGGATTGCACCACTGCACTCCAGCCTGGGTGACAGAGGGTGACTCCGTCTCAACAAAAAAAAAAAAAAAAAAAAAGCTATAAAAAATTTTTTGTTGAGTTTTTCAAAGGGATTGCATGGAATCTATTGATCAAATTTCTGTGAATCAACAACTTAATTATAACGAGTCTTCCAGTCTATGAACATGGTGTATATCTCTATTTAATCCTATTTATTTCTTTCATTAATATTTTGTATTTTTTAGCAGACAGATCCTGCATTTATTTTACTTTTACCTATTTTGTTATTTTTCCTGCAATTATAAGTGGTTTCTGTTTTGTATTTCAAATTTTAATTGCTCATTGTTGTTATATAGGAATATGGTTAAATTCCAAATACAGAATCCTTGCATCTTGCCAACTTGCTAATCTTATTAGTTCTAGGAGCTTTTTTTGGTTGATTTTGGGGGACTATTTTTACATAGACAAATGTATTATCTGTGAATAGAGACAGTTTTTTTTTTTTCAAATCTGTATGTTTTGTCTTTTCTTTCTTTTTCTATGTTCTTGTCTGATTGCACTAACTAGGTTCCAGTACAATGTTGAATAGGAGTGGTTAGAACATACATCCTTCCATGACATATGATGACATCCAGTCTCTTATCATAGAGCATGATGTTAAATGTAGGTTGTTGAAGATATCCTTTGTGAAGTGAAAAAAAATTCTTTTTTATTCTTAGTTTACTGAGAGGTTTACTTAGTTATTATTATGAATGGGTTTTAATTTTATTCAAAGCTTTTTTTGCATCTATTGATATGATTATATGTTTTCTCTTAAATAATCCATTAATATGGTGAATTGTATTGATTGTTTTTTCAATGCTAAATGTGACTTCATAGGGCTGGTGTGAATCCAACTAGGCTGTGGTGTATTAACCCTTTTACATATTACAAATTTAATCTGATAATATTTTGATGGATTTTTGCAACTATAATTATGTAATTTTTGTGTGTGTGATTTCTTTGTCTGGTTTGGGGATGCATTGGAAGTGTTCCCTCTCATTCTACCTTCTGAATGAAGTATGGAGAATTGGTATTATTTTCTTCCTTAAGTGTTTAGTGTAATCCAGCAGTAAAACCATCTGGTTATTTTTTTTTTTTTGGCATGTTTTTAACTGCAAATTTAATTTTCTTAAAAGATAGGACTATTCAGGTTATCTATGTTTTGTTGAATGAGTTTTGGTAGTTTGTGTCTGTCAAGGGGTTAGTATATTTTATCTAAGTTGTCCAATCTATGGGCATAGAATTGTTCATGATACTCACTTTTCAATTCTTTTCAGTATTCCCCAATCTTTGCTGAGGTGGGTCTGTGTGCTGGGGCATGCCTTTAGTGCTTCTGCGGGTGGTTTAAAACTCTGTGTTAGTCTTTACATCTTGCTTGTACAGAGAATCGAAGTTAGCTAGAAGTGAGAGATTAGGGCCTTCTCAGGTCTTTCCTATGCGCATGAATGGCAATGTGCATGCACATGGCCTTCTAGATTCCCAGAATCGTGTCATAGCTTTTCAAAGCCCCTCTATTTGTTTTTCTTTTACCTTTTGTCAACCTTAAATAATGAGATTTAGAACATATGATTAAGTACAGAGTTTATTCAAGCACAGAGCTTGAGGATAGCCGTACGAGTGCAGGAGTTAAGGTTTCACTTACATAGGTAGAAATAAAGAAGTTTCAGCAGAATCACAACATTTTCCATATAAGACCAGGTGCATATGCCACAGTGGTTTGGTTGGTTACAGATTGCTACACTCCAGGGAAGCTTATTACTTTCTGAGGCCAGGTAGTTTTGTCTCTGGTGTGTTTGGTCTTAATTATTTATGAAGAAAAAGCAGAAGTTGGCAGCTGCATGTCACATGTCTCAGGCTGCATAGACACATTCCTTCATGGCTCAGGATAATTTAAAGTTCCAACAGCTTTATGTTTAAGTTAAGTTTAAATTATTTAATTTTACAGTTCTTTGCTACCCCAAATTATTTTCCTTGCCATTTTCAACTTCTAGAGGCTTCCTTCATATCTTGACTTGTGACCCCTAACTTCATCTTCAAAGTCAGCAACCTAACATCTTTATATATTTTTTCTCTCGCTCCTATAGTTTGAAGTTTGTGTATGTTAAATTTTTTACACCTATATTTATTATGGTACTCATAATTCACTCACAAGTTTTCTAGAGGACAACACATCAGTGCTATTTATTTGTAGTAAAAAATATGAAATTCCCTAGCACCCAAATTTTTTCTCTTGAGATGACATGATAAAAGACAGATGTCATCTTACATGTAAGGGGTTCATGCTGTAGGTGAGTAACCCCCTAAAACGTGAAACTGAATGTTTAAATATAAGATAAACATGACTGCTCACCCTTCCTCTTCTGAGACAGCCTTTTTGGAAACATAATGGAAAGGATCTTAGGTTCTTACTCTAACCCTTTAGAATGTAAAATATTTCCATCAGGAGAAAGACAAGATTCGTGTCCCCTGCTCTATAATTCAGGAATATCACTGTGTTCCTGGGTTTTTCTCCTGCCTGCACCATTAAAATGTAAATATTCGAGGAAGCTAAAATTATCTATTCAGTCATAAATTAACTTCTAAAGCTTGTCTGTCTTTTAGCCCAGATTCCAAGTTTCAATAAACTGGTTTAGTAAGAAATAATGGTCCAGAAATCTTTCACAATTGTCACATGAGACATTTCCATTATTCTTGGACCATGAACCACTGGTGTTACCAATTATATTAGGTGCTGGAGATACAGAGTAGAATCTTCTAAATCCTGCCATCTGTTCCATGCCATAGTTGGTTTGGCTCTCTACGACTGAGTCATGCACCAGTCCATTTGCATATGGAGCCTGAAACAGAAAAAAAGGAAGTTGGTTTCCATTTCCCTGATGTGTGTGCTTCATAGATAAAATAAAGGTACTAACAAGTAATAATAGTAATAATGGTTAAAAACAAATAATTTAGTAAAACTGAATGCCTATATGTAGGAGACTGATTAAATAAACTATGGCAATATGCATACTCAGAATATTATGCAGCTATTTAAATAAATGGAGTTAAATATTAATATATTTTACTAGAAATAAATCTATGATATTTCAAATGAGAAAAAGTTAAAAATAATATGTAGCATATAGGGCTTCCAGCTCATCTTGAAGATATAGGAAAACTAAAAATGTCCCACACTTATAAGAAAAAAGCTGGATGAAATCTAAATTAAGAATTTTCCTTGAACTTTTTCAGAGAAATGAAGAAGGATAAACAATTGATGTGAAATCTGAGGAGAAACAGATACTTGCAGAGAGAAACAAGTGTCACCCAAACCATTAAGTTAATGATAGTATAGAGCCAATCCTTGCATCTCCTTACACATTGCCTCTAAAATGGCATTTAAAAAATTATGTTAAGAAGCTATTCATTTAAATAGCCTTGATTAAACAGACATCAGAAGTGACCATTTACAATTCTTAAAGATGACAAGAAATAGAAGGAAAGAGCTGTTTAAAGAAACTCCTTACTGGAGTGTAAAAACTGAAACCCTGTCTCTACTGAAATACAAAAACAAAATTAGCTGGGCATTGTGGTGGGCACCTGTAATCCCAGCTACTCGGGAGGTTGAGGCAGGAGAATGGCGTGAACCCAGGAGGGGAGGTTGCAGTGAGCCGAGATCGCACCACTGCACTCCAGCCAGGGTGACAGAGCGAGACTCAGTCTCAAAAAACAAGCAAACAACAACAAAAAAACTGTTCTCCTATTGACTTTATATGATTTTTCTTAGGACCCTCTCATAATCAGATACCCTGATAGTATGAGCAACCCCATCAGTGAAGTAGAAAATAAAAGATGAATAAACATAATATATGTTATAAATATATATGAGCTACTCAACAAGAAATTGAGATAATTTTTAGCTATTTCCCTAAAAAGAAGCATTACTGCTTATTTTGGTCATTTATTATTTTCTTTTATAAATTGTCTAAAAAGCTCAGTGTAGAGACTCTATATTAAGCTTCAATAAATGGGCACTTATAACTGGATCCAGTCCACAAAACTGCTCCAGTAATTTTCTCTCTCCTATATAATTGTCATTTTTGTCATCATTGTCTTGGTGGAAGTGTTTATTTGTGCAACAAAAAAGACTATCCTATGAATGAAAGAAATTGGCAGAGCTTTTGATATTAACTACCTGTATCAGTTCATAGTTTCCCCTGCCAACATTTCTAAAAGTGTCTTATATGTGCTTTTGATAATATCTTAATATATTACATTGGTTTTTTTTTACATGTTAGTTATATCAAAATTTAATATCAAATTTTATATTCTATAGATATATGTACATCTGTATATATGTTTATTAGATTTTAAACTTTATAGACTAAATAGATTCAGACCTCATATTCCCAGAACAGGCTTGAAAAATTCTTTGGTTCCATTCAAACTTTGTGGATCACATTTTATGTATGGCAACCTACATGTGGGACCATGATGAAATGCTTCTTAGTTTGCACCTTACACAAAAACACCTCACTGACAGAATGAGTACAGGCTGAAATTCAGTTCACTCTCTATTCACCATGCTTTATGTCTTTAAGCTGTATCAGGTGAGAGAGGAAAAGTTACTTTATTCTTCACAGAAAGCCATCAACTCACTAATTTAAGACCCACCATGTCTAAGCCCTCAAGTCTGAGTCCTTCCAGGAAGTTAATCGTTTTCTAATTTGTACAATGACTTGATATAATTGGTGACCTCTTCTGTATTTTTAAACAGAGATTTCCCATAATGGTTTACAAGCTTGGTGGAATATCAAACCCCATCAGCTCTTGGAATGGAAAAGAAGTTCTCAGACAAATCTAAGACCTACCAATAATAAAGATAAAAACAAACAACCAACAAAAAAAAAAATCAAAAAAAAAAAAAAAAGAAACACATCCCTATTATAGTGAACAGACTTGGACTTTAAAGCAACCAAATTATATACTAAACAGATAAAGAATTTGTATCAATATTTTCAAAATCAAAATAAAATGTAATGAAAATTCTAGAAGTAAACAGAATTAGAGCTAAATAAAATTTGTCTAGAAAAAATAAGATCTTACATGTGCTTAGAAGCAGATTGCGTATAGCTGAAGAGAGGATCAGTGAACTGGAAGACGATTCCGTAGGAAATACTTAGAGTAAAGCACAGACAAAAAAGAATAAAAAATAATGAAAAGGGCATAAGAAATGTGTTTGTGTGTATGTGTGTGTGTGTGTGTGTGTGTGTGTGTGTATTTGTTATGCTGAAATATCTAATTCATTTTTTATTGTAGTCACAAAAGTCTAAGAAACAATGAGATAGAAGCAATATCTGAAAAGATACTGACTGAAAATTTTTAAAACTAGTGAGAGATATCAAATTGCATATTTCAAAAGCACTATAAACCCTAAGCATAAATACCAGAAACAAACTAATACAACTTTCAAAAAGAATATAAAAGAAAAAATATATAGACATGTAAGAATCAAAGTACAGGAAACCAATGACAAATACTTAAACAGTAGACAAGGCCAAGGATGGATAAAAAACAAAAGGCACATTATTATCAAAGAAGTAATAGTAAGACTGGCAACTAACTTCTTTTAAAAAATGGGAAGCCAGAAAGCAATGAGGTGAAAGAAAATAAAAATAACTGATGAACTGGTAAACTTGTATTCTATACCCAGCTAAATGGTCCTTAAAAAAGTAAAAGTAAAATAAGGACATTTTCTTGTAAGAGAAAACAGAATGTATTGTTAGCAAACCCACAGAAAAAGTGATACTAAAGTAGTTTTTTAGGCAGAAGGAAAATGAACCTAGGTGGAAACAGAAATGCAAGAAAGAATAAAAAGAAAAACAAAGGATAAATATTTTCATAAATCTGTATGAATACTGACTATACACAACAATAATAGCAATAACAAAATCATGTGGAGTTTAGATATACATAAATTTAAAATTCATGAAAATAACACAAGAAGCAGTATAGTTGAATTTAAAGAATTTAAGCCTCTTGCTTTGTCTGGGAAGTGATAGGAATATTAATTTATGTTGAATTTTAATAAATTCAAAAAGCATATTTAATTCCTACAGCTGGATATATGCAAAAATAATAGAAACATAATCTATTAAAAAGAAAATAGTTGTATAATACACACCATCTCACATACGCAAAAATAGAAAATTATTAACTATAATAGCAACTAAAATTATTTTGAACAGAAAAAGTAAAAATAAGTAAAAAACTAAAGAAATAAAATGCATTGTTGGATTCTTCATAGCTTACCTGTCAATAATATTTGTAAAATAATAATTTAATTATCTAATAGTGATGCAATCACAAATAATATTTGGCATAAAATCTAAGTATTTCACATTAGAAAATCACTGGATCATACTAGAATGGAATAATTAAAAATACAGTATAGAAAAATAAAGAAATAACAATAATAATACCAGTAAAAATTATGGAAGTCTAAATCATAAGACACAACTGAAACTGTTGAAAATTATTGCCTCTGGTAACTGGAGACTAAAATAGAAAGGACAAGGTCCTGGTGAATTTTCACTGTAAGGCTTGTGGAAATATTTGACTTTGGTGAAATGAAAAAATCAAATTCAAAAGAAAAAGAAATATAATGAATTTCTTCAAGAATGTGTACAAAAAAAGAACACAGACATTTAAGAAGCTCAGGCAATTAAAAACACCAAAGGTTAGTAATATTTCCTTTCAACAAACTATAAGAAATGAAATAGCTCCTTAGTTAGAAATTGTTGCGATGATTTCAACAGATAACAAAGAGAAAGAACAACTCTTTGATTTGAACTTTAGTTCTCTCTTTTAAGATTAACAGACTTTTCTTCAAAGTAGAAATGTTAGAATAATTTTCATTTGTATCCTATGAGAAGAAAGGAGACATATTAACTCCTTTCCAGAGTCACTAACAAAGCCTTTGAAAGAGAAGTCCTTGAACCCTGTAGGAAAATAAATTACCAGACTCCAAAAGAAAGGAAGAAAATGTAATGTAGAAATTTTAGAATGTTTGATAAATTTCTTCAAAATTTTTAAATAAACTTTGTGAATATTTTGAAAGTATATTACTTGTGAGTTAGCACACATTCATATTCCACATAGGACAAAGGGTAATCAGCTTTCTTCTGATGAGGGTTTGCCTTTTTACTTGAGAGGCCAAAACTTCTGCAAGGACTTTTGCCTACATTTTGTTTGTCATGTTGGATTATTTAGTCATTTATTCAACAATAAGTTATTGACTTTCCATCAAATGAGACGTAGGTGAAAGATACTAATGGTAAAGAGTAAAACATAAACAAACCCTCCCAGTAATAATATTACAATCTAGAGATGGAGGCAGATGGCTAAATAAATAATTACAATAAAATATATTATATCTTATGATATTGATGTATGAAATTTAATGGAAGAACCTCGCTGGGTCCTAAACAATTTGAGAAATGTTTCCCAGGGGAATAGAAATCTAAAAGACTTGAAGGATAAAGGGAACAAACATGTCAGGCACAGAAAAAGATACACTGAGTCATTGAAGTGAGGTGAGTGCAGCACATCTGAAAACAGCACTTGATGACCAAAGACTCTGGGATGAGGCACTGGCGTGTATGCTGGGCAACCAGCTATTTGCTTAGATATAAAAACAGGGAAGACATGCTGAGAGGGGACTATCATGAGTCTAGTCTGAGCATGTGAAGTTTGAGGGCTGTGATTTATATAGATCAATGTATTCAAGTTGGGAAATTAGTAGATTGCTGTATATCAGCTCTGGAAGCCATGAGTAGTTATGGCATGAAAGAAGAGTTTGGGGAGCCATCAAAGTCTAGATAGGCATTAAAGCTATAGGAGTAAATGAAAATTTTCAGTAGGGGTGGTAGTGGAATCAGGACAGATCATGGCTTATGATGGATTCTTGATGAACCCTAACTTTAAGAAAGAGATTCTCAAGTGGATCCCCTGACTTAGAAGAAATTCGATGCTTGTTAAATCTATAAAACCATTGTCTCTTATGGTGAGGCCCATGTGATTTATATTCATATTAAAGCTTTGGAACCAGTGATCTGAGGGCATGCTAAAGGGGAAAAACTCAAGAGAAGGTTCTAAAGGGAAGAATTAGGGAAATTTAAGGAAAATCAAGAGGGTAACACTGTTTAAAAAAGAGGCAGTGGTCAATAATGACAAATGTGATTGAAAGTTTGAGTAAGAAAGGTAAGAATTGCCATTGTGTCAGACTCAGATATTTTGTGGGTATCTCTCCGGTAAATGCAGTTTCAGTGGCGTCAGGGAATCAGGAGACAGACTGCCCTGAGTGAAGGGTGGGGATGGAGCAGGAGGGAAGGAGGTAGTTGGAGGAGAATGAGTAAGTAGCCTTGTAGACACTTCAAAGAAGCCTGGCCATGCAAAGGTAACCAGAGATATGAAAGTGGCAGCAAAGTGGGAAGCCTTTTTACAAGATGGGAGAGACTTGGATGTTCATGGGAAGAGATTGAGAGAAACGAGTTAGTGATAGGGGGCTAGGCTTGATGAGGGATGGCATCCAGGGCTGATGTGGGGAAACTGGTATCTGAGAATACCAGACAGCCCATCTGTGGTGACAATAGAAAAGGAGGAAGGTGGGTTGGATTTGAAAATCTCTCTGGCATTTGAAAATTTGATGGCAAGATTTTTCATATCTCTCTTCCATCAGATTATTTTACAATTATTTTGGAGTTTTTCTTTTTTCTCCTTTGGTTGAGTGTCTTCTTTTGTATGTGTGGTATTTATGTTAGGTTTCATTATCCAAGATTTGAGTCAGACAGCTTTTTAAGATGAACTGAGTGGTTAAAAAAAATACTTTGAAATAAATTATGTAGCATAAAATTATCTGGTTCTGTTTTTTGTTTGTTTCTTGCTTTTGTGGAAGCCAACTGTAGATCAGAATATTCTTAGCATTAGCAATATGTGTTTTTTACTAATTCTCAAAATATTCCTGATGCTGTAATCTACTTTGCTTTAAAAGAGACTCTCTATCCATTGTCAATCTCCGGCAGAGAACAGATACTCAATGTACATTTTTTTTTTTTTTTTTTTTTTTGAGCTGGAGTCTCGTTCTGTCACCTTGGCTGGAGTGCAGTGGTGCGATCATGGCTCACTGCAAGGTCCGCCTCCCGGGTTCACGCCATTCTCCTGCCTCAGCTTCCTAAGTAGCTGGGACAACAGGCGCCCGTCACCACGCCTGGCTAATTTTTTTTTTTTTTTTTTTTGTATTTTTAGTAGAGATGGGGTTTCACTGCGTTAGCTAGGATGGTCTCGATCTCCTGACCTTGTGATCCACCCACTTCAGCCTCCCAAAGTGCTGGGATTATAGGCGTGAGCCATCGCACCTGGCCACTCAATGTACCTTTTTAATGAGTAAAGGAACAAACCAACCTCACCCCTTCCAATTCTTCCTCTAAATGAATCCTGCCTCTTATGTTTACACCTAGGTTTCTACCAGGGGTGACTGGGAGCCACGTTAATAATTAACCTTTATAGAGCCCCTGCCTTTGCCAGGCATTATGCTAAGTCCTGAAACTTTAGGTTAATTTAAAATTATCTTCATCTCATTCCTCCCTCTCACCACCTGCATCCTCGGATTCTAACTCAAACTAATTGTACTCATAAATGCCCCTGGGTCCTTGCCTTTCTTCCTCTAACCTCTCTGACACTGCCTAAGTCCGTTGCCTCAGGCTCTCTCAGTGGACACCTGGCCAGCCTCCTGTCTGAGCCCAGGCTGCTTTCTTTCCTCACTACTCCTACCTGTTACATTCCTCTTAAAGTTATCCTCCAAAAATATCCAATGCATTCATGTCACTGATCTGATTCTAAAATGTTGATTATTCTTAATTAGTTTTTGGATAAAAATCCTAAATTCGAATTCTAAATCCTAATTCCATATTCATTTTTAGGATAAACACTTTCTAGCTGAACCACTCATTCTGGCCTTCAGTGGTCTGTCATTTCTCAGTTCCCTCCCAGGACACATCCCCTCCTGCCACCCTCACGTTCTTGTAGCTCTCTAAGTCATTTCAAGTCCCACGTATTTGCCTCCTTTTGGAATACCCTTTCCACCTTATTATCCTCCTCATAAATTTCTGCCCATCCTTTTTTTTTTTTTTAAGATGGAGTTTCAATCTTGTTTCCCAGGCTGGAGTGCAGTGATACAGTCTCTCCTCATTGCAACCTCTGCCTCCCGGGTTCATGCGATTCTCCTACTCAGCCTTCTGAGTAGCTGGGATTACAGGTTTGCACCACCATGCCTGGCTGATTTTTGTGTTTTTAGTAGAGACCGGGTTTCACTATGTTGGCCAGCCTGGTCTCGAACTCCTGACCTCAGGGGATCTGCTCTCCTTGGCCTCCCAAAGTGCTGGGATTACAGGCATGCGCCACCATCCTTGGCTAATTTTTGTATTTTCAGTAGAGACGGAGTTTCACCATGTTGGCCAGGCTGGTCTCAAACTCCTCACCTCAGGTGATCCGCCCACCTCGGCCTCCCAAAGTGCTGGGATTACAGGAGTGAGCCACTGCCCCTGGCCTCTGCCCATCCTTTAAATTCCAGATCAAATATCACCTCTTCAGTGGAACTTGCCTCTTTTCCGAGGTGCAATTACTTCATATTTCTGCAGTGACAGTCACCATGGTGTGCACTTTTATTTGCCTAAGCAATGAATTAAGTGGTTCCTCCAAGCCGGGGACATCACCACCCATTATGTTTCCTGTGTCTAGAAGAATATTTCTCACCTTCGATGTTACATTAATTTTCTAGGGCTTCCTTAACAAAGTACCACACACGGGGTGGTTCAAATACCATTTATTTTCCCACAGTTTTGTAGGGTAGAAGTTTGAGATTAAGGAGTTGGCTCATTCTAAGCGAGGGATGTGAGGGAAGGATCAATTTCAAGCCTCTCACCTTGGCTTGTAGATGACCTGTCTTCTCCTTGTGTCTTCTCACCTCATCTTCTGTCTATGCATGTCTGTCTGTGCCCAAGTTCCCCCATTTTATAAGAACACCAGCCATATAAGATTAGCGGTCCACCTTACTCAATATTTAAGGAAAAACAAGAGGATTTTTCTTATCTGATCTTAATTACATCTGCAAGCACCCTATTTTCAAATAAGTTCACTTTCTGAGGTACTAGGGGGGTTAAGACTTCAACACAGGTGGGAGGGCATATAATTCCATCCGTAACAAATATGCTCAATGTGTGTTGAATTACTGAATGAGTGCCTGATGAAGGATTAATGAATAAAGAGCTATCACTCTTTCCTTTGAAATATACCTCATATTTTCCTTTCTTTCTCAATCCCACATGCTGTTTTCTTCACTGTTTTACTAAAATGGCTTTTATTGATCTTTGCTATTTTGCCATATTTGCCAATCTATTCTTCATAGAGCTGTTAGACTATTCTATCATAAATACTCTCTACATCAGCTCCTTTATCTTCTTAAGGCTCTACCATGGCTTACTTTCTCTTGTTTTTGTTTGTAATTACCTTCCTGAGTTTCAAGAAAAATCGTAATCTGAATCTATCAAGTTCATTATACTGCAGGCAGTTGATACATTTGGCTTATATCAATAACTATCAATAACCTGTATAAATAAACTGAGATCATGAGGTCTTGAGAGAAACAAGGATGTAAAAATTGACCAATTATTTAGGTAGACATAATCTCGAAGTAGACCTGGGGAGTTTCTGGGGACCAGGAGGCAGAATAACCTATCAATCAGAAAAATTTGACAATGAACAAATAGACAAAGTCAACAGAGTGACAGGAGGTCTAGAAAAAGTAGCAATACGTCTCAAAAGGTGAATGAAACTCAGAAACAGGCAATCCAAAAACAGGTGATATTCTGAACTCCCAGTAGATAGCCACGACAGGAAAGTGCATCTGTGGATTTAGAAGCATGAACCATCAACTGCGCCTGAGAAAACAAACAAACCAGAGCTCAGTGCCAGAAGATGAAGCACAAGGGAGTCAGGTGAGAGTGATGGGTACAGTCAACCCAGTCCATTTAAGCTGGGCATAACATGAACAAAGTAGTAACACAGGAATGATAGTGAGAAGCTATGTTTATATAATCAATTTTCCTTCTCAACCATAAAAGAAAAAAAAATAAATAGCAATATTATGTTTGTGACAAATTTTATAGAAATCCACAGAGGTTTTCTAGTCTGAAAAATTTACAACCCAGGGTGACACATTTCTGATATGAGAGTGAATATTCCCTAAAATACCCGTAAATTTTTGTGAAAAGCAATCACGGTCCTGCTGGAAATGTAGCATAGCAGACGGGAAGAGTGGACACAGATTTTGAGGATAACTTCCCAGCTCCTTGTATGAGCTATTAGTCCTTTTTAGGCCTTAGGGTCTCTTCTACAAAAAAGGGGAAAACGGTTCCTGAGCTGTACTGTTAGCTTATGGGGTTGTCTTAAGAATCTAATGAAATAACATATGTGAAAATTGCTACATTGACTAGAAGGTACATTTCAAAAGCATGCCGCCATGTCACCATCACAGATAACAGCTTAGAAGTGGATAATAGTGAAATACTAGTAATACGAGGACTATTATTTGAAATCTTTGCTGCTTAAAGGAAAATTCGACCACAAAGACGTATGTGCTTTTCCACCATTCTTCCTTGGCTTTATAAAGGTTTGGCCCTTGTCCAAGGGGTGCAGCAGCTTTAGAGGAATGACTGAGATGAACAAAGGGCGAGAGGTGTTGCAGGAAGAGGAGGCACGCTGTGAGGACTCTTCTCCCTCCGGTCTACCCCGTCCCCCAACTCCCTCGGGTGCATCTCTTCCAGTGCGAGCTCCGCTCCTCTGCCAGTTCAACAGTGACAATATGAGATATCGCATCTGAAGAAGCACAGCCAAATATTTGATTTGGACGATTACACTGAAGATGCCTCATCACAACTGTGGGTGCCCAGATTACCAACTCCTTGCTCTTGGCTTCGGTACATTTTGCAGTGAGTACAAACTGCATAGAAGAGCTCGTTACAACACTGATGGAAGCGATCCCAAATGGCTGATGTGGAGTGTCTTGTTTGGGGAAGAGTTCACTGATGAGGAATAAGCTGAGGAGGCAAGATGCTGTTGTTTTTCCTGTCAAGGCAAATGGTACTAAGAACATGGCAAGCGTTTTTTTATTTTTTTTTTCCTTTCTAACTTGGATTCAGAAATTCTTGGCGATGATAAAGCAATTGCTTTTCAGGGGAGATCACAGAGGAATAGTCACAATGACTCTTACCCTTCTCTCCTTGACATGTGATTGTTTCCATTTCAGAGAGCATCAGGGATGAAAATTAGAGACCTGGGAGGGGTCTAGGTTTGGCTGTCTCTAGCACCTTGCTGTTTTCGTGTTTCCCTGTGATTGAAACATAAATAAAACCATTGTGCATAATTAGCACCAAATAATACCTTCTTTATGTTTTCATTCCACAAGGCATAATATCACTTAAACTTTATGCAGAAACCCTTAGAGTTCCCGAAAGAAGAAAGCAGCTCAGAGCTTCAGATTTTCCCACATCTGCTTGAAATGAAAGGTACACTATGTTTTCATTTTAAAAGCATAAAAATAAATTTCTCTTTCAAAAGTGTCCAATCTTTCTGTCATTAGAGCTTCAGTGACAATAGTAATGCCTGTAAAGTACAGGAATTTTGTTGAAATGCAAGATTGGTGATGCTTTGGTCACTATACACATACGTACAGAGACCACACATGCACTACATTAATTATATAAGAACAAAAATAGAGGTCCTGTATCAATGCACAATTATGTTGAGGTCCACATTTTGTATCTACAGTTGTTTATGCTTGCAGGTATTCACATACGTATGCATTTGCATATATACGGAAGTATATGCACATGCAAACTTGTCTATATATCTAAATTGAAGTTTTTTTGTCTAGAAATGAGAATTGAAGTGGTCAAATGTGTTGTGTGTGTGTGTGTGTTTAAATAAAATTAATAGATTTCCCTCTCAACTTTCATAGCATGCCCTGAAAACAATCAAGTCGTATGAGAGGATTCTGGATAATATGCTTCTGCTTTTCAGTTAGTTCGTTGGCCCCGTGCTAATCATGCTGAGGTCATAGGTTCAGTCCCCAGGTGGGCCATTTACATTTGCTTTGCTCCAAAGCACCAGGCTGCACTTCCTCCCCCACATCAGACATGATGAATGCACTGCACAGGGTTTGGAGGTTAGCATGCAAGCTCTGGAATTAGACTCCATGGATTCAAAGCCCAGCTTTCCATCTCTTAGCTATGTGACTTCACATAAGTTACTCAACCACCATAAGCCTCCATCCCCTTATCTGTAAAATTGGAATAAAAATTGTATTTATCTCATTTAAATGTTGTAGAAACTAAATAAGATACCATGGGGCAGAGCTTAGCACAATGTCTCAGGGCTGAATAAACAAGGATGACTGGAGGGCAGGCTCTAGGGACGAGGGTGGAGCCTGGGGAGAGGTGGGGGAGGTAGTGATGACCACAGTTGGTCACAGCAGTACTAAGATTTTATGTTGAGTGGATCCTGTAAATTCCATCTAGTAATCATGATTCAGTAGCAAATTTGAAACGCAGGATTATGAGCTTAAAGAAGGGGTCCCTATAAATCCCAAATAAATAAAACAGTGTCTAGCTAATTTCCCACCCTTTTACTCCCTATTATTTGTGAGTTTCCAAAAATGAATTCTACGGCATAAAGCTCTATTCAACCTTTTGTGAAAACATCAACATATTTAGTATCAATTTCAAAAAATATATAGTGAACTTGTTAAAGAGAAATGTATGCACAATAGAAAGTTAATTAACTGTATCTTTCATGCATTTCTATTTTAACTTTACCTCTCTACTGAGTCTTTCCCACCAAAATTTCTTCCCTAATTTCATCGATTCCCACAGAAGGCCAGCTCTAGAACTTTTGGTAGGAGATGAAGTCAGATTTAATTATTTTATCCAAAGTCCTAATTCATTGTAACTATGTTAAGACAATAAATAAGAAATCATGGTAAGCCCAAATATTTTCCAGACTTAAGTATCTAATTTGCCTATGCAACCAGTTACCTGATATCATTAAAACAGGGTCCGGATTCGTGTTCAGTTGGAGATGTGCTGTGAGCCCAGACTCTCTTATTTTTTTTCTGTGTTTATTTGTGTTGATGAGTGCTGCAATTTCTTCTCACAGTTTTAGTTTGTGTTGCTTCTTTAGATTAATTTTGCCATATGGTTCTGATTTCTTCCCCAGAGAAATCAAGGTCACATATAAACAAAACCTCAGCTTGTTAAAAAGTAGGGAAAAATTAAACCAATCATTTCCCATCATTTTCCACCTTTATATTTGTTTCTCCTACTCAGATAATCATTTAAACAAAATCAACCTCTGATATTATAATTGTACATTTTATTAGACGTAACATCATCTAAGTCTTACAATTATCTTACAGAAGCAACAGCATCTCAGAGACATACTTTGTAGCACTTACTAGAATCTCTTCACAGAGATTCTGTTCTCTATCTAGAACATTGTTACCTCAAAAAGGCCCAGTGCAATTAAAAATATGTTCAAATTACCGATTCTTCATACATTTTACAACTATGTCTTTGTTGACTGCACAAATATATCCTTCTTTATATTCCTTCACCATAATTTTCTCTAAACTTTTGTTTATTCATTTTGTTTTCCATTGTAATACTAAAATAAAACAAAAATGAAATTAAAAAACAGAATCTCTAATTATTGTTCTTCAATAAAACCAAATAATAAAAATTTTCATTACCTCCTTACCTAATACTGAAACATCAAACTTTTCAAATCAGATTATAGACAAAATTTATAAAAGGATAGCACTTGTTTTCAACCCAAAGTATTATTTATTTTCTGTACTGCTAATAAATATAATTATTATCTAACTGGGGTCGTAGAAATAATTGTAGAAATGAGAAAAGTTTCTGAATGTGGATTCATCTGCATTTTTTAATAATAAAGAAATAAATACAACTATTATGAGATGTTGTTTACTGAGACACTGGTTATTCCCTTGAAAGTTTTCCTGACAGTTTAATGAGGCTCCCTGAAAATAGCATCTGATATATTAGATTTACAATGACCACACAGGAGAGTAAGAGCAATACATCTTGGGGTAGACAGGGCCAGATTTCTCCCCTCCATTTTCCCCCTGCCCCCCAACTCTGCTAAAGCTTAGCTAGGAAGGCCTGTAGGTATCTGCCATCATCAATAACTGTGTTCTGATTGCACTATGGACACAAGCAAAGCAGAACCCTGAGCCTATGGGGAATCAATAAAGGATGCGGGAGAATGTGAGCACATCCCAAAGACCAGTGCAGTGCCTCCCCACTGCCATCTTTGGTTGGGATCCATGATGACAGTGCCCATCTCCCCAGGCAGGCTCTATATGATCCTCCAGGTATGGTAAGTTAGGAGCAGGAGGATGTACCAAAACAATATTTTAATAGAGAACAACCTGACACTAATCTGGGGACTGAAACAAGAAGGAATCCAGTACAAATCAATACCCTTTCTACTGGTACATTTCAGTCATGAGCCAAGGTTGTAAAACAGGGTTATTATTTATAACAACTATGAAGTGGATTCTTTATTGGTTTCAAACTTCAATTTTTAACCCACAAATGTTGTTCACAGCAAAAAAGGAATGAATACATGAATAGTATTTAATGGTAAATAATAGTTCAAGGGAGAGCATAAAGCTACAGGAAAAGTGGTAAAGCTTCTCTTAAGACTAAATGACTGTTGGAAAGTGGATTCTAAGTACTCAGAGAGATATGGTATTGCTGAAGTCAAGAGCAGCTGAGAAGACATTTTCTGTATCATCAGTGGCTGAAGTGGCTTTGGATGGTCTTCTCTGCTATACAGCACCTACCATATTGTGATGATCAATAAATATTAATGGAAGATGAAAAATGCATGAAGAAATAGACAGAAGCCTAGTGCCAGAGGAGAGGAATTGAGAACTCAACAGTGCTTTCACTTCCATTTTAAGCTGGATAAATATAAAGAGTTGGAGTAATGTGAGGAAATCCTCAAAACTGAAATGATGGGATGGAAGAGAACAGGAAACTAAGAACAGCTTTTAATTATTCTAAACCTACTTATCACCACTTTATATTTTGAAAAAATGCTTCATAATGATGTATTCCTTCCAATAATGCTGTGAACAGGAGGAAAAAGGCATATAAAACAAAAGGCAACAGATGATCAAAATTGTGGAGGACTGAGTTTAACCTTGGGAAAAAAATTTAAAAAAAGAGAAAAAGAGAATAAAAAATAAAATACATACTATACTTGAGCATGATAAATAAAATTCAATATGCAAACACCAGAGAAGAAAAGAAAATATGGAATAAGAACAGAAATTTGCTCTAAGTTCTTGTTTTGTTTTCTAAATTGGCACCGAAGGGCATACTTAATGAGACTTTTGGTAGAGGGAAGAAAAACTGTTTACTGTCACTTTAGGCAAAATACAGACTTCTCAAGGGATGACTCTTCCTGCAACCAGGTCCTCGCATCATTTATTGGAGTTCTGAAATTCTGGGTATTCTGGAGCCAATGTGCTGATGTGA
The DNA here is from genome assembly GCF_000001405.40 of Homo sapiens. Lineage (NCBI taxonomy): Eukaryota > Metazoa > Chordata > Mammalia > Primates > Hominidae > Homo > Homo sapiens. Next base: position 103,261,121 of record NC_000002.12, on the reverse strand, counting down.
AAGAGCATGGGGAAAAAAAAGGCTACCAACCAGCAAGAGAGCAGATGCTTGATTTACAGATAATCTTTATGTTAGCAAACCATGGCTGAAAGTTACACAAATTAGAACTATGGCTAATTCCTTTCTTGAGAACCTCATTTGTTTTCTGTGTATTTGTTTGCTTGTTTTTATAATTTGTTTTTCTATAGAGAGTCATGAGATCTTTGCTATAGAGGGAGATAAAGGAAAGGGTAAGAGAAAGCAATCAGAAAGTTTTTAAAGAGCATAAAAGTACGTCAATGAATTTCTTTACTTTGGTAAAGCATTTATTGGGATAATAATTATAATATAATAATAAGTTATTATTTACTGTTTTAACTCCTAATGTTTCATCAGAACTAGTATGTCCAGCCACAAATACCACTCAACTCTTTACACATACCAAGATGTATTTAACAAAGAACAATTTGGTCCTTTAATTAATCAATTAAATAAATGACGATGGTGATAATGACAATGATAATGCTGATTTTTTTTATAAATGATGCCTGTGGTGATCATTCTAATGCCTAAAAGTAGAATGGCTAGGTCAAAGACTACAGAGTTGTTACCAAAATGAGAAAGCAAAAAGATGTCAGCAATAAAGTTTCTTTCATGCCAGTTAGAATAAAGTTTCTTTCATGCCACTTAGAATGGCAATCATTATAAAGTGAAGAAACAGGTCGGGCACAGTGGCTCACACCTGTAATCCCAGCACTTTGGGAGGTGAAGGCAGTTGGATCACGAGGTCAGGAGATCGAGATCATCCTGGCCAACATGGTGAAATCTTGTGTCTACTAAAATACAAAAAAAAAAAAAAATTAAGCTGGGCATGGTGGCGCACACCTGTAGTCCCAGCTACTTGGGAGGCTGAGGCAGGGGAATCACTTGAACCTGGGAGGCAGAGGTTGCAGTGAGCTGAGATCATGCCACTGCACTCCAGCCTGGCAACAGAGCAAGACTCCGTAAAAAAAAAAAAAAAAAAAAAAAAAAAAAGCAAGAAACAACAGATGCTGGTGAGAACGTGGAGAAATAGGAAAGCTTTTACACTGTTGGTGGGAGTGTGAATTAGTTCCACCATTGTGGATGACAGTGTGGCGATTCCTCAAGGATCTAGAACAAGAAATACCATTTGACCCAGTAATCCCATTACTGGGCATATACCCAAAGGATTATAAATCATTCTACTATAAAGACGCAGGTACACATATGTTTATTGCAGCACTGTTCACAACAGCAAAGACTTGGAACCAACCCAAATGCCCATCAATGATAGACTGGATGTCCAAAGTAAATGGAACTAGCCTGGCTCCCTTCAGGTGGAGAGAGTGATTTTTGCATGTTGAAAGAAAAATAAACAACAAAAAATAGTGATGATAAGAGCATATGCTGATTTTCATGAGTGCTGCTTACCAAATATTTTCAGTTTTTCTTATTGCACTTGTTGGTCCCACTGAAGTTGGCTTGGGCAGTGTGATGAGCTATGACTGACGAGCTGTGAGCAGATATGATGATGCATAGCACTTTGGGGCCAGACCATTAACGTGCAGATGAAATTCTCTCCCGAATTATCTGCCAGTTGAGATGGTGGTTGCTTCAACACTCAGGGTCCTGGAGCGAGGCAGCCTGGGGCAGAGTCCCCAGCCATATTGTGGTGCTGCATATGCAGCATGAGCAAGAAATAAAACTTCTTTCTTTCTTTCTTTCTTTCTTTCTTTCTTTCTTTCTTTCTTTCTTTCTTTCTTTCTTTAAGCAGAGAGATACACTGGTTGTTTGCCACCATGGAATAACCTGGTTTATTCTAGCTTATTAGTAAGAGCTCAGTACTGAAAAGAGAAATGATAATGATGAAAGTTGTAATGAGCAATAATACTAATACATATATGTGTGTATATATGTATATATGTGTATATATGTGTATGTGTATATATATATATGTATGAGACAGGATCTCACTTTGTCACTCAGGTTGGAGTGCAGTGGCACAATCTTGGCTCAATGTAACATCTGCCTCCCAGGTTCAAGCGATTCTCCCACCTCAGCCTCCAGAGTAGCTGAGATTACAGGTGTGCACCACCACACCTGGCTAATTTTTGTATTTTTTGGTGCAGATGGGGTTTCACCATATTGGCCAGGCTGGTCTTGAACTACTGACCTCAAGTGATCCACCTGCCTCAGGCTCCCAACTAATATATCAGTTTATTATTACTAATTATAGCCTCTTACCTTACTTTACAGAAATTTATTTATTTATTAATTGTAGCCTCTTACCTTACTTTACAAAAATTTGTTTTGTTTACAAATACCTCTCATTACACAGTTGGAAATGCATGTCTTCCTTGATATTAATACATCAGTGGCGATTTTTTTATTTCAGGTCTTACTTTGAATATATCATCTCAAACCAGGTGTTCCTTCATCTTATTAAACACGCTATCTTTTTGGAAGATAGCATCGTAATATTGATGAAAAGCCTTAAAGTATGAGTACCACTTTAAAGGATGGACCTCTGATATGTCTAAAAGCTGGACTTGGTGTAACTGGGAAATTGACATTTCCTTTACCCAATCTCAGATGAAATACTTAGGAGTGTGTGGGGTTATTTAGACAAGATTTTTATACTTGGAGAGTAGAACATAGTTAAAATATAAAGAATATTCAAGTGACATGGAAAATTTGGGACAGCATAAACACCCAGTGACATTAGCAAAGGGCACCGCTTATGCCTGATGAATTCTCATTCAACAGCCGACGTCCACGTCCATATATGCTGGCGGGGAATGTGAGAGACTTGGGGAGCTGGATTTTTCTTAAGATGTTCTGTGTTTCCTTCATTAAAAACTGCCTTGGTAAGTATTTTTCATACAAAAGAAACTTATGTAAAGAAAAGGGAACACTTGTATCTTGTTGGTGGGAAGGTAATTTAATATAGTCATTAGGAAAAACTGTCTGAAGGTTTCTCATCTTAAACATAATTATTTTATAATTTGCATTTGATCATTTCATTGTCTCAACTTCTTGGGAGGGGATACATTCTGTATTTCTTGTTTGCGTGACTTCGTGGATGAGTTTTTATGTTAATTTCTTAACTTACAGTTTTCTGTTACCTTGCAGAAAGTTTAAGTTCAAATCTCAAACCCATGTGGGGCAGTATCACGGTTATAAATTCTCAGGGTATGACATTTTTTCCAGGCAAAGCTCAGACCAACACAAGTTTCATTAATTTTCTTACCTTATTGAATGATGAATTTCCTTTTTCTAGTCTACATTTTTGCTAAAGGTAGGTCCATACCCAGCTTTAGGTCAGTGCCTCAGCTCCAAGCCTACCTTATCTTCTTCACTTCATTTCCATTGAAATACACATAGCTTGGTTACACAGACAAGCAAATGCCATCAGGAATGTTAACGCATCAATATTACTTATCATTTAGATTTTGTTTCTCAATGTTTCAGGCTTTATGGATTTTCCTTTATTTGTTGTAATGTCAGCCATATATTTAAGATACTGTCAGTTATATTTTATTAACATAGTTAGATTTATTTAGGTTTGTTACATAGGTACACATGTGCCATGGTGGTTTGCTGCACCCATCAACCCGTCATCTACATTAAGTATTTCTCCTAATGCTATCCCTCCCCTAGCCCCCCACCCCCCAACAGGCTCTGGAGTGTGATGTTCCCCTCCCTGTATCTATGTGTTCTCTCATTGTTCAGCTCCCATTTATGAGTGAGAACATGCGGTGATTGGTTTTCTGTTTCTTTGTTAGTTTGCTGAGAATGATGGTTTCCAGCTTCATCCATGTCCCTGCAAAGGACATGACTCATTCTTTTTTATGGCTGAATAGTATTCCAGGGTGTATATGTGCCACATTTTCTTTATCCAGTCTATCATTGATTTATCTACTTAGAGCTCTTCCTTGAATAAGGGGAGAGTTCACATGTAATGTACTGGACACCAGCAGCAGCATAAGCATGTTCTGTCTGCCCCACATCTCTGACCACTGGGTGAGGGCTGAATCCTTCTCTCGGATATAGAAAGGGCTGTTGTACACAGTGCCCAACTGAAAAGACCCTGTCTAGAGGTCAGAGAGTGAACCAGGACAACAGTGTAGTCCAGAGGTATCAGACTCCCCAAACTCTGTCTGATGCTCTGACACTCTTTGGAAGATGGCCTGATTCTATGACAATCTCAACCAGTAGAGCAATTCCAAGCAACCCTTCTTCTCCTCCAATCCCCAATCCAATGCCAGACTGTCTCAGGGTATCATTTTTGTTTTTCATCTTTAGCCCCTAACAGTGGGGGAAGACTTGCCATAGTTTACACTTTGAAGGCAGGGAGTAAAGAAAGTACCTTGCTATGGGCTGAATTGTATCCCTCTAAAAGAAAGTTGTTGGAGTTCTAACCTCCAGAATCTGAAAATGTGACCTTATTTGAAGAGAGGTACTTATAGAGGAAATCTAGTTAAAATGAGGTCCTCAGGACCCTAACCCAAACAACTGCTGTCACTTATTAATAGAGAGAAGACAATGCAAGAAGACACATAGAGAAGACAAACATGTACAAGTCAAGGAACCAGGCCTAGAAGAGATCCCTCCCTCACAGCCTGCAGAGGAACCCACCCTGCTAACACCTTGATCTCAAACTTCCAGCCTCCAGAGTGGCAAGACAATAAATGTGTAATTGAATCCTCCCAGTTTGTTGTACTTTGTTGTAACACCCCTGGCAGACTAATATACAGATATTTAGAATTCTTATGTTATTAAACTGATAATTAAATAAATTACATCACCCCAGACTTTAACGATATGATACTCCCAAGGAGCCAGGACTGATGCCTTCCATGTGTATTCCCAACATTTGGATTGGGTCATAGGTGTTCTTCTGGCACCTATGCACCTTCGGATGCATTCTGATATTTGTGCCAGGACCCCTGCAACATTCTGACTCAGAGTGACCAATATTCCCAGCCTAGTTCATTTACTTCTCTTATTTTAGATGGCAATTATGTCTAAATGCAACATCTTAGTTGTGAAATATATTTAAAAAATCAGCTCTCAGAAATTCACCCAAGGTACCTACAGAGTCGACTGAGGAATTTGAGAGAGAAAAGAGGAAGAATCAGTATGTAACCCTCAGTCTAAGGACACAGCAATATTTGATCTGGACAATGGAAGGTTGGAGAGATACTAGACAAAGTTCCCCAGGGCATTGAGATAATAGCTTTTGGCCATATATAATGAAAACAGAGTGAATAATTCCTAAACAGAGAAGCCACTTTGAAACTGGTTTTCCTCAAAACGTTGTCACCAAGTGTATTGTTTCCCAGTCCTGGCTCTGACACTGTATGCTTGGTCAAATCATAGAACTTCACCACACCTCTGTTTCCTTACATACAAAATAATGGCAGCATTTAAAGTAAGATCCTACCATAAAATTCTACAACTGGAAATACGTAAGTCATCATTTCTAAAAATATAAAGTGCTCTTAAAGTATCAGTGAAATGTGATATCAATGAATAAAGTTTTATTGTCCGGTTGCTTTGAAACATCCAAACGTGAATGTTCAAAGGTAAGTAAAAGCTCCCTAACTTATTCTAAATTCAGAAAATGTACAGTCTATATTAAATAGCATTTAGCTTCTATAAACCATCTTATAGTACAACAAAAATAATAGTATAATTCATGGCATACTTATATAAGGCTTAGCTATCACTCTAATCTTTTTGCTTCCCACAAAATAATCTCTCTCTCTCTCTTTCCCTCTCTCTCTCTCTTCCTCTCTCTCTCTCACACACTCACACACACACAAACACACACACTCTTATACACATAGGTGCATTCCCATACATGCACTCACATATTGTGTACATTTCCTGACAAATTTTCCAAAAGTGAGAGTACAACAAATACTGATACCCTCATTTGGTTGCTGTAGAAGCTCAGGCACAGAGAGGCTGGATGATTTGCTTAAATTTATTAAGCACAGGATTGTGGAGACAAAAAAAAATTAAAAAAAGAAAGATTAGAATTCCCTGGCTCTCATTCCAATGCTCAGCAGTAGACTTTAATGTGCCCCAGCTATCATTCTTGGATGAAGCCTACCAAATAAAGAAAAGGATAAGGTCATCTTTGATTGTACAAAATATTTTTTACTCTATTTCTTAAAAAAAATTAGGGAGGGAGAAAGGGGTCCTGAGAAGATGTCATTGGCTAATGCTGCCATGCTCTGTCCCTAGCACTTTTTTTCTGAAAGCCTCCTTGATAGAGTGTCATTGCTTGACAGCCGAAATGCCTCTTGCTGTGTGGATTGAAAGCAGAAGATAACCAGGCGACATACGCTCTGTCAATGGCAAGAAAAACTGTCTCTCTTTCACCTCCAAAGCCTGAAAGCCCTTTGAATACTTGGGCTGGGATCTCCTACGAGGAATCTATTTTCCATGTAATGGTGTGAATTTCCCACATTGAAACTAAATATTCATGACTTCACGAAAGCGCTTAAGCTTCTGTATTAAAAAAAAAAGATTCTAAGTCCGTTTTATACATTTTGGACAAGCTAGTATTTGACATACTCTATATGTTCTGAATAGTATTATAATTTCAAATAAATCTCTACTGACATCATTTCAGCAATGTCATATCCTTAAAAACCATCTGATAGGTGAAGTGCCCTTTTCGTGGATTAACCAAATAGACACATGAGGGAGGATGTAGAAGAGAGAGGAGAGAGCAGGCCAAGAAGGCACTCCTTCTCATGTTCTTTGCTGGGATCCTTCCTCATCTTAGAGCCTCTTTTCTTTTTAAGCCTTTCACAAAGCTCCCGTGGAACTTCTTTATGGCTCAATGCCTGCGGCATTTCTCAACAGTAGTAGCACAATACAGAGAGTTATTCCTGCTCTCTTCCTCTATCTGGGGGAAATATTCAGCAAAGCATATTATACAAGCAAAACCCATTATGGGTCTGTCTCCTGGCCAAATTGAGTCAGGTAGGAAAATGAGGCATGTTTTAGGTATGTAGCCACAAAGATGATTTTATGAAAGCAAATGGCCTTATTACCATGTCAATCTGTTGAAACCTCCTTTAGGATGTACTTTGTATTGGGATAACCAAGCTTGTTTCTCTTTGTAGCATCCCTTCCCTCTCTTTTCCCCAGGAAATAGATTGATACTCCAAACATATTCACAGATTTTGTTGAACATGCTATAGAAATCACTCAGATTCAAAACATCATGCTTGGTGTGTAGTTGATGGATATGTAATTCTTTGATTCTATGTTTGTAAAATATCATTAAAATATCTAATAATAAATATATTTATATTTTTATGAAGTATAATCTCAAAAGTCAGGAATGGGAGAAGACAAAGAATCCGAAAGAGCCATTTGTTTTTACTTAATGCAGCTGTCTGAGCCTTCAGAGATCTCTCTGTTCATGCTTCTAATATTACTGTTTAATGTTCATAGGTATTTCTTTAAAAGAAGTGTATTCAAAACTTCTTGGTTTTCAGTAAAATATTTATTGTACTAGAAGGTAGAAAATAATGATTAGAAACAAAAGCCAGTCTTCACTTTCAAGTTAGAATATGGTAAAGGACAGAATTAAGGAAATGTGCAATTGCATTGTAGAAGAAGGAGTGTTGTGATAAATGAAATTTTCTCTGATTCTGCACATGGGAAGTGAGGGGAGACTATTTCCCTCCAGGCTCCAGGCTTGAATCTTGAAGTTTCCGCAAAGTAAAAAAGAGGATGGGAAATTGAACATCCAGCCGAAGCCCTGGTACTGTGAGTTCATGTTCAACATAAGATGAAGGACCTCCCACTTCAGACAATTCAAGATCCTCCCCATGATTGCAGGTTGGTTTACATAGGCCCTCTCATGCCCCCTGGGGAAACACTTTCCTGCCTTTCCTAAATCTACTTCTTTCATTCTTTCTAGTCCATCCTTCTTTATTAATTCTCCCTTGCGTTGTCTTCCAGAATTGTCAGTATTCCCTCCAAAATACTTAACTCTCCAATCTAGACTTGCATCTATTTGTTAATGTCTCAAATTGAGGAGACACGTGTTTGAACCAAAAATATCCAAGGGAAGTGAGTAGGTCGAGTCTCTGGGGAAGGCAAGATGAGAGTTGTGTGAGCAGAGGTGGATGGTGGGTGGTGGGATGAGAAAACAGCTCTTCATTCCAGGTTGTAGTTTCCTTTATTCTATGAGAATTAGAATATCAGCTTTATATGGAATCCTCAGGGATAATTTCCCATAAACCACACTTATCATGTTCATGAGATATCATTGCAACCTGCCCCACCTCAAATTAGAAAGCTGTTTTCCAGTACTGTCGTAAGGAATGGGTGCTATTCTTAATGTCTCTCTCATAATTTCTAAATATCTTCCCTGAACGGGAATAGAAGCCTGTTTTATAGACGACATCATGGGTACAGTTAGTTATATGTCTGGGTATACAAAAATACAGATTTGGGAGTTATTATTATCTAGATTCTAATTGAAGTCAGAGGAGCAGATAAGGCGACTTTCTCACGCTAACTGGATGTATAATGAAAAAAAAAAGTGCTCCTCTGACAGAATACTGAAAAGAACAGTACATCCATTGGGCTTGGAGAAATCGAGGTACGGACCAGGGAGAAAAGAACTTTCCCAGATGTTGTGGCCTCACAGAAGTTGAGATGAAGGAGAACACAAGCATGTTCATGGGACTTGGTAACAAAAAATGTTTGAGTGGTTTCACTGAAAGCAGTGTATAAAGTTGGAGAGTCAGAGTCAGGTCATAATGAATGGAAGAATGAATGGAGAGCCTTTCATTTCTAGAACTATGGCAAATCAGATACTATGAATAGTCCTCCCTAGGGAAAGAAGTAATATACAGGCTATATTATGGAAAAAAAAAAAACCAAAATACAAAAAAAAAAAAAAAGAAAACAAAAATCCCTAACTCTTTAAATATATTGCTGAGCAGACCTGGTATTAAATACACACACACACACATGCACACACATATGCAAAATGAAGTGACACCAGGCACCCTAGGAGATAGGAAGTCCAGCCTCCATCCTGAGGGCTCCCATCAGATCCTGAAATATTGAGCTTCCACACTGAGAGTTACATAGGTCATGCAGGCAGACAGTAAGCCTAGGACCAGGCCATGTAGGAAGAAATCTAACAGGAGATTTCCCACACAAACCTGGAAACTCAAAGATTTTACTGTCATGAAAGGACAAAGGTAGAAGAGCAAGGTGAGGGAAGGTAAAGAACAAGGCAGCATGCTATTTCAAAGTTCATGCCAATCGGAAGGGGATAAATCTTTCTCCTGGGAATTTGGAACTACAAATGAGCCCTGACATGGGTTTTCATTCTGAATTCCCAATATGTATGAAGTCTAAAATTAAAGGAAAACAGATTTGTAATGCATATAGGCAAATAGCAGAAGTAAAAGCAAATTCCCTCTGGAGCTCACAGAATTCTGAAATATTTCTAGAAGAGGAATGGCTTATATTTAAAATTACTAAACATTCACATGATAACCTGCACACAAATGTTTATAGCAGCTTTATTCATAATTGCCAAAAGTTGGAAGAAACCAAGATGTCCTTAAGTAAATGAATAGATAAATAAAGAGTAGTACACCCAAACAATAGAATATTATTTAGCACTAAAAAATATGAGCACACACACAAAAAATGAAAAGACATGGTGGAGCTTAAAATGCATATTATTAAGTGAAAGAAGCCAATCTGAAAAGTCTATATTTCATACGATTTCAACTATATGACATTCTGGAAAAAAACTGTAGAAAGAGTAAAAAGATATCTGGGGTTAAAGGGATGGGGGGATGGATAGATGGAGCACGGGAAATTTTTAGGGCAGTGAAACTATTCCATATGATACCATGATGGTAGATACATGTCATTATATATACACCAAACCCACAGAATGTACACCATTAAAAGTGAACTCAGATGTAAACTATGGTCTCTTGGTGATGATGGTGTGCAAATGTAGGTTGATCAATTACAACAAACGTACCACTCTGGGGAGGGGAGTGTTGATATTAGGGGAGGCTATGTATGTGTGGGGCAGGGGGTATATGGGAAATCTCTGCAGTTTCCTCTCAGTTTTGCTGCGAACCTAAACCTGCTCCAAAAAAATAAAGTCTTTAAACAATTAAAATAAAAAATAAAATAAACAGACAAAGAACAATGAGCAAGAACCTTCAGAAAAACAGATGCAGTAAAATGGCCAAAGTAAACCCTAAGGTGTAACACAGGGCTACAGAGAAGTCACTGGATGACTAAAATTTTCAAAGGAAGGACAACAATACTTGCTGTCTATCAGACTCTGAGTAAATTCCTAACCTGGTTATGGTTTTAATATTACAGCATGCTACAATCCTTTCAATGGCTTTATATCTTTGCGAGTCTGTGAAGATGGAAATTCAAGTGAACATGAACATCAATGTGTAACAGGAAGAGATGCATCAGTGCCTGACCTTTTCCCACGGTTTAAGGAGTTGTAGACCACTAAATGGTCACACACATCTTACTAGTAAATAGCTGTGGTTACTCATTATGAAATAAAATTAATACGTTTTCTTTTAATTTGTGTGTATTTTTTTTCAAACAGTCTATAGATTGTTAATAGTATAATTACTTATTGAATTGTTTAAACCTACCTACTGATAGATATTTCTCTTCATCTAGAGACCTGGAATTAATCATGAATGTTAGTTTGGTTCCTCTCAGCAGTAGATATTATTGCAAAGTTGGAAGCATAAGAGGTTTTGGTTGATAATGCTTGTGACAAACAAAGGGGTAAAGAGTGAGAGTAAGCAAGGAAAGTCTTGAGACTGCAAGGAATGTCTGGTGACTCTGGCAAAAGGAGAGGGAGAAGGAAGGAAGATGGGTAGGAGAAGACACAGACAACTGCACATCGGAGAAACTCTGTCAGCCCCATAGGGAGCTTGAGTAAAAGGATTGCCCAGGGAGGATACTGTGTTGGGCAGAAATGATCAAGCCCCGATTCCCCACCACACTCAGCCATTGGCTGAAATTTAGCTGCCTATGACTTGGCTCAAAGGCAGATATCAAGCAGCGCAGCTGGAAGCCACCACACTCTGCACACCTCACAGCAGCTCGTCTCTACAAGGATATCTGAGCATGGCTGTATGCCCTACAAGCTGCAGGGTATATGGAAAATACCCACTTCACCTTACATATTCAGAGAGAAGCTCCTCCATGGGCTTCCTCAGTGGAAATGAGAAAAGGAAAGTTGTTATGAGGAACTATATACCACCACCATTGCGTTACTCTTGAAGCCACAACCGTAACTCATTCTCTTCCCATACACTTCCTCTTCTGAATTACCCTCACCTTCAGCTTTCACCTCTACAGCTTTGAGAGGCTTGGCTGGTAATGCGACCCTAACTCCTAGTGTTCAGAATGTAAGCCCTTGGTCACCACACTCTTTTCTGGCCCAGTGGCAACACTTTTTCATTCACAGTTACCACTGGTCATGCGAATAACAAAAGGGGCCCAGGTGGATCACCTGGGTGCCTCCATATAGTCCTCCTTTTTTTCAATATGTAAAAACAGTTCTGCCTCCTCATACTAATCACTGAAGAAATATATAGAGAAGGTTTACCTCCAAATGAGTACACGAGGAGAAAATTAAAACAAAACAAAACAAATTCCACAAATCCAAAAGATGGTAAGAAGGAAGGGGAAGAATAAAAGAAATACTGAAAATGTAGAAAAAATAAAAACATAAGACAAATAATAATAAGAAGTTAAAAATAATTATAAAATTAACAGTGATCACAATAAATATTAGTGGGCTAGATTTTCAAATAAAATATAAAAGTTTAAATATGTATTTAAAACAGAATATAACAAAACAAAAAAAGGCAAAGTAAACATCTTTTCTAAGAGATATACCTTGAACCTAAGGGTAAAGTAAAATCAGATGTCAAGATAAAAATAAAGACATACTAGGTGTGTATTAACCAAATAAATCTGATGTAGCCATATTAATTTCAGATCAAATATTATTTAATACAAAAAGCTTTATTAATAAAAAATAAAAGTTTATTTCACTGGGAACATATAACAATTCTAAACTAACACATGTAGTAATATGGCCTCAAAAATATGTAAGGGATAACTTGAAAGGCTTCAAACCAAATGCGTTCATATGCCTTCCTAGTGGGTACTTTGACATACATCTTTCAACTGATGACAGATCATACTTATAAAATAGGACAAATGAACCACACATAAGGCTATACAATATTTGAATATTAAAAGTATAAAAATTCATATAATGGGTATATATAAAAATCTCTCCCATCAATTGAAGACAACTTATTTTTAAGGGGAATATACAAAACAATTATGAAAATTGATGAAAGGCTACATCATAAAGCTAGCCTCAAAAAAATATCTAAGGGGTTGTGTCACACAGAGCTTTCTCTGATATCACCTCAATACAATGAAGTTAGAAAGCACTAATAAGAAAAGATAATTAGAGATATTCCACATACTTGCATTGAAAACCATATTTTATACCTCATTGGTCAAGTAGTAAATCATAAGAAAAATTAGAATATGAAAAGGAATGATAACAGAAATATAGTAACAATCTATGAGATATAACTAAAGCTAAGTTCTCAAGAGAAAATGTTAACCTTGAATACTTTAAAAAAATGCTCAGATTTCATAAATAAATGATCCAACTTAGAAATTAGCTAAGAAGAAATAGGATAAGCCTAGAGAAAGAAGAAATAAATAGAATATTATTATCTATGTATGGTTTTATAAAGAGATAACATGTTACCAAATTATGACTTAAGGAAATTTCTTAGATAATAAAAAACATAACTAGAAGACACTTTCCAGTAAGTCTCTCATGTTTCTGCACATCTTGTGGGCAGAAGCATTGGCTACTTTTCTGTGGGCTATCTTTTCAAGGATGCTTGTATTGCAAACAACCTGGAGGACAGAAATAGTGTCTTCTTCCAAGGGCAGATTTATTTACTGTTCAGAATAATACTGTCTCCCTTTGAGGCACAGTTTAGATAGGCTCAATGCTCATTATAAAATATTAGGGCTTCTTAATCGTAGTGTTATTCTCCTGTAACAGAACCCGCTGTGTGCATAGGTGTCACCTAGCCCTCTTCACATTATTCTGTGAGAATTGCAGTTTGGAAAACTTGTGCAAAAATCATGACATCCTAGCTACTTATATTGCTGTGACAAATAAGATGTCCTTTGTCTCTGACCCATAGTTAAATGTCTTCTGTCAATATCTGTGTAACAATTGCAAACTAATTTGTTAACTTGCAAGTAGGTTGTTCTTATGAGAGAAAATAAAATTGGATTCCCACCTTTAAACACACATCAAAATCTATAGTAGGTTAATTAAAGGCTTAAGTGTAGGAGCTAAATACATAAAACTTTAAGAAGACAATATAAGGCAATCTTTGTGATCTCAAGACAATGAAGAATTTATGTCCAAAAAAAATGCTAACTGTAAGTGTAAGTAACATTAGATAAACTTAAATCATTTAATATTAAAACATCTGTCTATAAAATGACCATTATGCAATCCAAAAGACAAGCCAGAAACTTAGAGAAGAAATTTCTAACACATATCATTGATGAAGAATTCATATTTAAAATAAATAAAGAACTTTTAAAATTATTAAGATTTTAAAAGACAATTTAAAAAATGAACAAATGCTGTGAAAAGCCTGTCCACAGAAAACTTATGAAAAGTTCCTAAATATATGAAAATGTGTTCCATCTTATTTGTAGTCATATAATGCAAATTATAAACATAATAAAATATCTTTTTCAAATTATTGAATTGTCAAATATTTCTTAAAAATAAGATAATATTGAACATT